>NC_000001.11:244820485-244972000 GCF_000001405.40 Homo sapiens
CTTGCTGCATTTTATACAAATAATCAGACCAAATACAATAAAGTAAATCGGCCTTACCATGATTTGTATTTAGTAAAAATGAGAAACTGGAGAGAGAAAAATTATATTTCAAGAACTATAATACACCTGTTATTAGATTCTAGTCTCATGAGTTGTTTTTAAGTTTGTTTCTGTAATTTAGGCTAACCCTGCTTATTCCTGTGAACCAACCAGTGATCTCTGGCTGCAGCTCAAAAAAAAAAAAAAAGGGATGGGTAATGTAAAAATCTGGATCAGTATTCTAATTCTGGGCATGCATTGGAATTGCTAACAACCCCGTATCAGCTTAGTTCCAACAGTTGCCCAGTTGATGGGAAGCCTTCTAATTTAGTTTACTTGGAATAATTTTACTTATTTTGCTTTACTCTTGTGGAATATATTGTTGTTGTACTCTTTGTGTAAAAATGAGGATAAGTTTACTCAACGTTTTCTTAAATTTAACACTTATGATATCACCTTCTGTCGGAATTCAAGAGTTATGAATGGCCCTCACCATATGGATGCTTTCTGACTGAGCTCCTCTCTACCCTGAATGCAAAAGACCCAGTAGTTGGGCAGTAATATAATTGCCCCTATTCAGCCTGAAGAAGTTGCAGAAGATGGATCTTTGTCCCTCTGCAACTCTTAGGATTAAGGATTCTCTTATAAAAGGGAGGGGGGAAATGTCAGAGGCATTTGAACCAGAGCAATTCCCTCTTGAGTAGGGGCTGGGTAAAGTAAGACTGAAATGTACTGGGCTACATTCCCAGGTAGTTAGGCATCCTGAGTCACAGGATGAAATAGGAGGTCAGCACAAGATACAGCTGATAAAGACCTTGCTGATAAAACAGGTTGCAGTAAAGGAGCCGGCCAAATCCTACCAAAACCAAGATAGTGATGAAAGTGACCTCTGGTTTTCCTCACTGCTACACTCCCACCAGCACCATGACAGTTTACAAATGCCATGGCGACGTCAGGAAGTTACCCTATATAGTCTAAAAAGGAGAGGCATGAATAATCCACCCCTTGTTTAGCATATCATCAAGAAATAACCATAAAAATGGGCGACCCGCAACCCTCGGGCGGCTCTGTCTGTGGAGTAGCCATTCTTTATTCCTCTACTTTCCTAATAAACTTGCTTTCACTTTACTCTATGGACTCGCCCTGAATTACTTCTTGCCCAAGATCCAAGAACCCTCTCTTGGGGTCTGGATTGGGACCCCTTTCCAGTAACAGTGGGAGAATCTCTTGAACCCAGGAGGCAGAGGTTGCAGTGAGCCGAGATCGCACCACTGCACTCCAGCCTGGGCAACAGAGCAAGACTCTGTCTTAAAAAATAAAAATAAATAAAATTAATTAAGGGGCTGAGCGTGGTGGCTCATGTCTGTAATCCCAGCACTTTGGGAGGCCAAGGCAGGCGGATCATTTGAGGTCAGGAGTTTGAGACCAGCCTGGCCAACATGGTGAAACCCCATCTCTACTAAAAATATAAAAATGAGCCAGGCGTGGTGGTGGGTGCCTGTAATACCAGCAACCTGGGAGTCTGAGACAAAAGAATCGCCTGAACCTGGGAGGTGGAGACTGCAGTGAGCCGAGATCATGCCACTGCACTCTAGCCTGGGCGACAGAGCGAGACTCCGTCTCAAAAAACAAACAAACAGGCCAGGTGCGGTGGCTGACACCTGTAATTCCAACACTTTGGGAGGTCGAGGCGGGTGGATCATGAGGTCAAGAGATCGAGACCACCCTGGCCAACGTGGTGAAACCCTGTCTCTACTAAATATACAAAAATTAGCTGTGCATGGTGGCGGGCGCCCATAATCCCAGCTACTTGGGAGGCTGAGGCAGGAGAATCGCTTGAACTCAGGAGGCGGAGGTTGCAGTGAGCTGAGATCACACCACTGCACTCCAGCCTGGTGACAGAGTGAGACTCTGTCTAAAAAACAAAAACAAAAACAAAAACAACCAACTAACCAAACAAAATCCAAATAAGTTTGCACAGAAGTTCAATGGCTCCCTAACTGTATGCTATTATTTTTAACTTTTTTCTCCTTTTGTCTTTCCTTTTTTCAAATTTAATTAGCTGATATTGCTGCCCATGAAACAGTTCTCAGGGTTAGGACTTAACATCTTGTGCCTTTGAAAATTCGCCTTCAAATACAAACACGATTTTCCCATTCTAAATGCAAAACAGAAGTTCCACAAAGGATTGCTGGAAAGAAAGCGTCCACTTAGGGCCAGGCGCGGTGGCTCACGCCTGTAATCCCAGCACTTTGGGAGGCCAAGGAGGTTGGATCACCTGAGGTCAGAAGTTCAAGACCAGCCTGGTCAACATGGTGAAGCCCGTCTCTACTAAATATACACAAATTAGCCAGGTGTGGTAGCGGGCGCCTGTAATCCCAGCTACTCGGGAGGCTGAGCCAGGAGAATCACTTGAGCCCGGAGGCAGAGGTTGCAGTGAGCCGAGATCACGCCACTGCGCTGCAGCCTGGGTGATACAGCGAGACTCTTTCTCAAATGAAAAGAAACAAACAAACAAAAAACAGTCTGATATCCATACTAATTGCATAATTGCGTAACCTTAAGCAAATCTCTTAACATCTTTGATTCAACGTTACACTGTGAGGGAGAGACACTAATACCTCCTTTTATAGAGGAGGAAATTGAGGTCCAGTGACTGGCTCAAGGTGGCAGAGCTGGAGAGAGTTGAGGTGCAACTGTGGGTTCAAGGTGCTGGCAAGAGGTCCCCCAGCCCCCAGCCCCTCCGTGTCACTCACTACCTGCCATCTCAAACAGTGGTATAAAGCCCAGTAAAATGTGCATGTTTTTATATGCATGTACAACCCAAATGTAAATGTATATTGGTTTAGGTGGGAAAAAATAATTCTAAAATTTGCAAAAGGAGTTATGTCAAAGTCCTTAAATATTGATACGTTAAAAAGTTAGTAAGTATTCTGGGCTGGGTGAGGTGTCTCAGCCTGTAATCCCAGCACTTTGGAGGCCAAGGCGGGCAGATCACCTGAGGTCAGGAGTTTGAGACCAGCCTGGCCAACATAGTGAAACCCCATCTCTACTAAAAATACAAAAATTATCTGGGTGGGTGTGGTGGTGCACGCCTGTAATCCCAGCTACTCGGGAGGCTGAGGTGGGAGGATCGCTTGAGCCCAGGAGGTGGAGATTGCAGTGAGCCGAGATCACACCACAGCACTCCAGCCTGGGCAACAGAGCGAGACACTGCCTCAAAAAAAAAAAAAAAAAAGGGTAATAAGTATCCCTTCATCAGTGCTTAATAAATGTATTAGGAATATGAGTAATTTCTATGCACTTCAAGATAACTAATCTCAAATTCATATGGATATATTTCAGAAAAGATTGACTCTAAGGACCCTCATACAGCCATGGAATGTACCGCTTTTTTTTTTTTTTTTTTGGAGACAGGGTCTTTCTGTCAGAGACAACTGAAATTTTAAAATAATAATAATAATAAAGAACTGGGAATTGGGGAGATGATGATGATAATGATGAGGAGCAGAGGCTTGCCCAGCTTGGGTCTCCAGGGACACAGCAACAAGAATGAGCCCAGAACTCTGCATATTCTATTTCTTGTCCTCATTTTCAGAGATGTATTATAATCTCAGTTTTGCAGATATGAAACCTAAGGCCAGCCAAGATATAGCTTTAATATGCATTTAAAGAAAATAATGGCTCAAAAACAAGGTGCAATGCTTTCATTCTATGATCAGCAATGTAGATGGAACTGACATGTATATACAAAGCATTATCTTTAATAAAATTGTATCAATGGTTTTTTCTTTTGTTTTGTTTGTTTTTGAGATGGAGTCTCGCTCTGTCACCCAGGCTGGAATGCACTGGCATGATCTTGGCTTACTACAGCGTCCGCCTCTCAGGTTCAAGCAATTCTCCTGCCTCAGGCTCCCAAGTAGCTGGGATTACAAGTGCCCACCACCATGCCCGGCTAATTTTTGTATTTTTAGCGGAGACAGGGTTTTACCATGTTGGCCAGGCCAGTCTTGAACTCCTGACCTCCAGTGATCCACCAGCCTCAGCCTTCCAAAGTGCTGGGATTACAGGTGTGAGCCACCGTGCCCGGCCTCAGTGTTCTTCTTATACTTAAAAAAAATTCATCTCAAGGGGCTTTAAGAAGCAACTTAATCCCCACTGAAACAAACAAGAGTTCCTTGAAGAAATGGCCAGGGAATGTTCAAGGAAAGGATGTGGGCTTCAAAAAGAATAACCATAATTAATTGAAACCCATTAAATAAATATTTCATATAAAGATACATGTATATGAAAAGGGAGGCGGGAGTGCTTCACAGACGAATGCTAGCTAATAAATGGATTGACAGAATAAGGTCAACATTTGCTAACTCCAGTGTAATCGCTGATTCCGTCAAGGATACTCACAAAGTGCTAAAACCATTAGGTGAACAGATTTTTGGTAACAGGATATTTGCATGGGTTTTTAATTGAAAGCGAGAAGCGTATCTTTACAATGGCAAGTTCTGGCAGTCTCCATCTTAACCCAGTGATCAAAGTTAGCGTCGCTAATGGTAGCACAATCTGACGTATGTGCCTTCCAATGTGATAAAATTTGAAATCCACATCGTCTAGAAGTATTTTTGCCCAAAATGTTTAACCTAAATTGAATCAGGCTCCTAGACCAGCACATGTCAATACAAATATATGTAAGCCACTTATGTAATTCAAAATTTTCTGGTAACTGCATTTGGAAAGTAAAAACAAAAGAGAAAAGCCCGGGGTGAAATTAGTTTAAAAACATACTTTAGCTAACCCAGTATATCCGAAATATTACGATTTTAACATGTAATCCATATTTTAAAATTAATATTTTATATTCTTTTTTGTACTGAGTCATGTATTTTCAGCATGTGTTTTTACACTTTAAGTACATTTCAATTCAGATGCTAAATCTTCATTGGAAATACTTGATCTGTATTTAGATTTCATAAAATTTGCAATTGAAAAACTAGCTCCAAGTTGTTCCACACATACATTTTTCCTATCACTGAATTGAGTATCAGTTTTTCAGTTTAAATTCAACTTAACAAAGATGAAATGAAATTTAAATTCAGTTCCTCAGCTGTATTCACCACATTGCAAGGGCTCCAGAGCTACATGAGGCTTGTGGCTATGATACTGGATTAGGCAGCCCTAGACTGAACTTCCAGTTTAGAGGAAAGAAAGGGATAGTAGACAGACAAGTTAAATGACACCAAGAGACAATCCAGAATGTGGGACATTTTACAAAACAATCGCCTTAGACTTCCTAAAAAATCAATGTCATAAAAAAAATAAGATGGGGAGATTGTCCTAGACTAAGGAAACCCAGAGATATAGCAACCATAGGCAGCAGCATGTCTGAAAACAACAAAAGCTTAGACAATTGGGAAAATTTCTTTGAACACTTGGGGAACTCTGAATATGTACTATATGCTAGATGGTATTCTGGAATTATTGCTAGTTTTCTTAGTTGTGATAACAGCATTATGGTTATGTAGGAGACTGCTTTATATCTAGGAGGGATAATCATTCTGGTGGAGAATAATTGTAGAAATGCAATTTTAACCAGGTATTGAAGTTGAAAGGAGCAAAAATATTGTGGGCATATGAGATCTTAAAATATATACCTTCTCTGCAAAAAGTTCTCTTCAGTAACTTCCAGGAAGTTGCTGAAGGATACTCTTCTCCAAAATGAAGGAGTAAGCCAAGAAAAGAATGATGTGGAATGGAGGAGCAGGTGGTTCAGCATGAGTTTACAAGACCCTCCAGGACAACAAGTGGGAACTAGTCTTAGAAAGCAGCCATCATTGACTGGAGCAGGAAGACAAAAACTCCAGGGGAGGCCAGTCGTGGTGGCTCACGCCTATAATCCCAGCTACTCGGGAGGCTGAGGCAGGAGAATCTCTTGAGCCCGGGAGGTGGAGGTTGAAGTGGCCTGAGATCATGCCATTGCACTCCAGCCTGGACGACACAGAGAGACTCTGTCTCGAAAAAAAAAAAAACAAAAAAAAAACTCCAGGGGTGATGTTTCCAAGAAAAAAAAGTACTGACAGGTGGATCATGTGATACATTTGGCCATATTGTGGAGAGTTTTATAACTCTGTAGGAGAATTTCCAGGGAAAAATGGATAGGTATGTTCAGTGGTGTATTGGTAAACCACCTCTCTGAAAAATAACAACAAAAAGCCCAAAAAACAAGAGGCCCTGATTTGTAGCATTGTTTGATTTCTGTGGCATAAATACTTCCACCGTAGCTGATTTCAAACTACCAACATTTGCACGCAGAGTTGGCAAAGGATGTCCACAATCGGCTCTCAAGGGCCAGTAAGAGTTGGCTTCAACAAAATTCAGCAAATAAACAAAACAGTTATTAACTCCAGGAACAATAAAAAGTTTTATAAGCAATGAAATCATAGTACTATGCATGGCTCAGCTATGAGCAATACTTACACCATCACGACAATGCACACACTGAATGCTGGTTTAACTTTTTTTTTAAATTTATTTTATTTATTTATTTATTTATTTTTGAGATGGAGTCTTGCTCTTGTTGCCCAGGCTGGAGTGCAGTGGCACAATCTTGGCTCACTGCAACCTCTGCCTCCCAGGCTCAAGCGATTCTCCTGCCTCAGCCTCCCAAGTAGCTGGGATTACAGGTGCCTGCCACCACGACCGGCTAATTTTTGTATTTTCAGTAGAGACAGGGTTTCACCATGTTGGACAGGTCGGTCTCAAACTCCTGACCTCGTGATCCGCCCACCTCGGCCTCCCAAAGTGCTGGGATTACAGGCACTAGCCACTGCGCCCGGCGGTTTTAACTTTTTTAAAATGTGATGTAACCACACTGAGAGGATGAGGGTAGAGAAGGGTGCAGAAAATGGAGCTAAATATTCATTATCAATAGATAACACCTCAAATGAAAAAAATCAAGAAATAGCAGAATGAACATTTTATTTAGAAATAAGAAGGTAAACTGGCAGAAGAAAGGGCCAAAAGAGACCAAAGTTATTACCTGCAGGGTGCAGAACTCCAGCGTAGAGAGAAATGTGCAGAAAGAAAAGAGCTGGCTTTTTTTTTTTTTTTTTTTTTTTGAGACGGAGTCTCGCTCTGTCATCCAGGCTGGAGTGCAGTGGCGTGATCTTGGCTCACTATAACCTCCACCTCCCAGGTTCAAGTGAGTCTCCTGCCTCAGCCTCCCGAGTAGCTGGGACTACAGGCATATTCCACCACGCCTGGCTAATTTTTGTATTTTTAGTAGAGACGGGGTTTCACCATGTCAGCCAAGCTGGTCTCGCACTCCTGGCCTTAAGTAATCCACCCTCCTTGGCCTCCCAAAGTGCTGGAGTTACAGGTATGAGCCACCATGCCCGGCCAGCTGGTTTTCTTTACAAGCCCTGTAGTACTATTAGACTTACACATATGCACACACTCATGTGAGTACTCACATACACAAATACTACTGAGGCAGACTTCTGGTTATAGAAGACTGAACACAAACTTTTATCACTCTTTCCTCCAAAACCTATTGAAATGACAGAAAGAATATAAAAGGCCTGGCACGGTGACTGACGCCTATAATCCTAGCACTTTAGGAGGGCGAGGCATGTGGATCACTTGAGCTCAGCAGTTCGAGACCAGTCTGGGCAACAAGACAAAACCCTTCTCTAGGCTGGGCATGGTGGCAGGCACCTGTAGTCCCAGCTACTCAGAAGGCTGAGGTGGGAGGATCACCTGAGCCCGGGAGGCAAAGTTTGCAGTGAGCCGAGATCCCACCACTGCACTCCAGCCTGGGCAACAGAGCAAGACCTGTCTCAAAAAGAAAAAAAGAAAAAATATATATAAATATATATATTTGTTATTGATTATATATAAACTTGTATATGTATATATTTATTATTTATATAAATTTATATATATAAATAAGCTGGTAACTGCTGGGAAGCCAGGAGAATGCAGCAGCAGCAAACCAAGACAGTTAAAATTTTCTGAGTACAAGACACTTGGAATCACATTGATTTCTAATCCCAACATATTAAAAACAACCCCAGACAAGCCAAAGAGAGAACCTCAAAAAGTAAGTTTTGCCAGCAAAGCCCCCATCCCAAACCCCTAAAGTGACGTCCCTGTTTCCCTTCAGCCCATCCTGTAGCCTGCAGATAACCGCACCTCTAGGATGCGATTCCTGACACTGCACTTCCTCCCACAGGAGGGAATGAAAGCGGAAACTCCGGGCGGGGTCCCAGGGGACTGACAGCCACCGGAGGGAAGGCACCCCTTTAAGAGAACAGTTTTCACTGGGCGCGGTGACTCACGCCTGCGATCCCAGCACTTTGGGAGGCCGGGCCCTGTGGATTGCCTGAGGTCAGGAGTTCGACACCAGCTTGACTAACGTGGTGAAACCCCATCTGGACTAAAAATACAAAAATTAGCCAGGCGTGGTGGCACATGCCTGTAATCCCAGCTACTTGGGAGGCTGCGGCAGGAGAATCCCTTGAACCTGGGAGGTGGAGGTTGTGGTGAGCCAAGATCACGAGCCGAGATTGCGCTGCTGCACTCCAGCCCGGGCAACGAGAGTGAAGCTCTGCCTTAATAAATCAATCAATCAATCAATCAATCAATCAATCAGAGGTTCTGCTCTGCCACTAAGCTAAATGGCCACCTCACTCCCGGCTTCTAGAATCATTACTTTTCTTTTTTGAGACAGAATCTCACTCTGTCGCCCAGGCTGGAATGCGGTGGCGTGATCTCTGCTCACTGCAACCTCCACCTCCCAAGTTCAAGCGATTCTCCTGTCTCGGCCTCCCGAGCAGCTGCGATTACAAACGCGCCACCACGCCCGGCTAATTTTTGTCCTTTTAGTAGAGACAGGGTTTTACCATGCTGGCCAAGCTGGTCTTGAACTCCTGACCTCAGGCGATCCGCCCACCTCGGCCTCCCAAAGGGCTGGGATTACTGGCGTAAGCCACCGCGCCCGGCCTGGAATCATAACTTGTATCGACCGCCAGACACACAGGGAGTCAGTCTCACAAGACAACATGATAAAAACACAAAGCACAATATAAGGCGTCAGACTGGAGAGGCCACGGCCATGATTCCTAGCAGGGAATCCTGAAGAGCCACTCATTTTGTTCTTGCCAGACGTGTCCTGAATGCTGTCCCTTTCCAGACCTGGTTCTTCGGCTTTCTCTTCAATTCGGTAAGTTTCTCCACATCTTCCCAACAGAGGGAAGACCTTTTCTTCTTGTTCGTGATAACTAGAGTCAGAGTCTGTTGCTTGCAATGAAAAACCATTACAATACAAATATGGCTGAATGATAAGCTTGACCGAATGCTATTATATTTTACATACTTATATATAACGATAATATACAACATATTACAATTGATAAGCTTGGTTTAATGCTATTATAGAGAATGCACATTCTTTCCAAATCCCCATGTAACAGGAACAAAACGATATCTTTTTTTTTTTTTTTGATACGGAGTCTCACTCTGTTGCCCAGGCTGGAGTGCAGTGGTGCGATCTTGGCTCACTGCAACCTCCACCTCACGGGTTCAAGCAAGTCTCCTGCCTCAGCCTCCCGAGTAGCTGGGACTACAGGCATGCGCCACCATGCCCGGCTAATTTTTTTGTATTTTTAGTAGAGACGGGGTTTCACCACGTTGGCCACGCTGGTTTTGAACTCCTGACCTCAAGTGATCCACCTGCCTCAGCCTCCCAAAGTGCTAGGATTACAGGCATGAGCCACCATGCCAGGCCAGAAATGATATCTCTTAGGTAAGACCACACACACACCCCACATACAATCAATAAACCCCCAAAAGTAGAAATAAACAGGCCACAGTATAAGACATAATAAGACAAAAAATAGAAATGAACAACAAAAGCATATCCAATCATATTCACTTGTGAAATAAAAGCTGAAATTATACAAAATTTAGGAAAGATTAACAGGAACATTACCTCTATGACAATCTGATATAATGAACAATAAAATGATTCTCAGAGGGAATTTTATAGTCATAACGACATTCATTAGAAACCAAAAAAGACGGAGAAAAAGTGAATGAAGTAGTCAATTCAAAAAGCTAAAAAAAGACAATAGAATAGATCAGGTAAATTTTTTAAAATGTAAAATAGAAAATGAAATAAAAAATAGTAAAACCAAAAGTTGGTCTTTTTAGAAGAAAAAATATTCAAAATTATGAATGAGAAAGGGAGTATAGAATTATTTTCAAAATCATGAAAGTATGTTTTCATTATGAGTCAAGAATGCCTACTTAGGCAAGACACAAGATCAAGCACCATAAAAGGAAATATTGACATATTTGACTCTGCAAGAAAAAAAGAGTTAAAACGTTTGAGAAATAAAAGACCCCATAAACAAAAACAACAAATAAGTGAACATGCAGAAAATATTCGTTACATATATAAGGACTAAAAACTATGCTTGTAAAGAGCTACTTTAACACGAAAATCACATACACAACCAATTTTATTTATTTATTTTGAGACAGAGTCTCACTTTGTCGCCCAGGCTGGAGTGTAATGGCACAGTCGACTTACTGCAACCTCCGCCTCCTGGGTTCAAGCAATTCTCCTGCCTCAGCCTCCCGAGTAGCTGGGACTGCAGGTGCACACTACCATACCTGGCTGATTTTTGTATTTTTAGTAGAGACGGGGTTTCGCCATGTTGGCCAGGCTGGTCTCAAACTCCTGACCTCATGTGATCTGCCCACGTTGGCTTCCCAAAGTGCTGTCCCCAAATTTTTAAACACACAAAAGCTATACAAAGTTAATTCTTAGAGAAAGAACGGTCAATAAACATTTGGAAGAATGCTCAACCACAGTAGCAATCAGGAAAAGTTTAAAGCAATAAGATACCATTTCCGCCCCCATGAGATTCAGCTTAGAGACAGGGTCTTGCTCTGTCGCCCAAGCTGGAGTGCAGTGGCACAATCATAGCTCACTGCATCCTCAAGCTCCTGGACTCAAGCAATGCTTCCTCCTGCCTCAGCTACCCCCAAAACTCCCCAAAAGCTGGGATTACAGGCACATGCCACTGAGCCCAGCTAATTTTGTTTTTTTTTTTGGTTTTTTTTTTTGTTTTTTTTTTGTTTTTTGTTTTTTGTTTTTTTTTGACAGAGATGGGTGTTGGGAGGAGTCTCGTTTGTTGCCCAGGCTGGTCTCGAACTCCTGGCCTGAAGAGATCCTCTTGCTTTGGCCTCTCAAATTGTAAGGGGATCGCAGGCCTGAGCCATCACGCCCACCCTCCCCCAAATTAAAAAATGTGAACATATGCAGTGTTGAAAAGGTGAGGAAACAGGTAACTCTCCCATACAGTTGGTGGGGAATGTAGATTGATAGTATTTTTGGAGGACAAATTAGCAGTATGTATTACATTTTAAATTGTGTATACCCCTTTAAATCAGTTATTCCACTTCCAGATATTTACCCTACAGAAATACTTGAACATGTACACAGATATATATGTATGCATAAAGATGCTGATTGAAGCATTTTTGGGGATTAGTAAAAAATGGAAACTTTCAGAAATGTCAATCAGAGGCCGGGCGCGGTGGCTCACGCCTGTAATCCCAGCAGTTTGGGAGGCCGAGGTGGGCGGCTCACGAGGTCAAGAGATCGAGACCTTCCTGGCCAACATGGTGAAACGCCGTCTCCATTAAAAATATAAAAATTAGCTGGGCGTGGTGGCGGGCGCCTGTAGTCCCAGCTACTCAGGAGGCTGAGGCAGGAGAATCGCTTGAACCCGGGAGGCGGAGGCTGCAGTGAGCCGAGATCACGCCACTGCACTCCAGCCTGGGCGACAGAGCGAGACGCTGTCTCAAAAAAAAAAAAAAAAAAAAAAAAAGAAATGTCAATCAGAAAGAAAAGAAAGGATTACTAAGCAGTCATTAAAATGAATGAGTAAATCTGTAGTACATAAATCAAACAAGTTCCCAGATATATGGCAAAAAGTAAATTACTGAATGCAAATGATGTGGTACAGTGTCATTTCAGCGTGTATCACATACAGATACATGTATACATAAGCGTGGAGGCAAGTGTGACATAGAGCCTTTCATTATTTACCCCATATATTCCAGTGTTGTTTTAATTAAGACAAAATATAGGTATTCGTGGGATAATTTTTTTTTGTTTTTGAGACGAAGTTTCGCTCTTGCTGCCCAGGCTGGAGTGCAATGGCACGATCTCGGCTCACCACAACCTCCACCTCTTGGGTTCAAGCGATTCTCCTGCCTCAGCCTCCCAAGATGGGATTACAGGTGTGTGCCACCATGCCCAGCTAATTTTTGTATTTTTAGTAGAGACAGGGTTTTGCCATGCTGGCCAGGCTGGTCTTGAACTCCTGACCTCAGCTGATCCACCCACCTCGGCCTCCCAAAGTGCTAGGATTACCGGCATGAGCCACCGTGCCCGGCCTCGTGTAATAATATTTAATTAAGAAAAAGCCGGGTGCCATAGCTCATGTCTGTAATCCCAGCACTTTGGGAGGGTGAGACAGGAGGATCACTTTAGTCCAGGAGTTTGAGACCAGCCTGGGCAACAAAGTGACACACCATCCCCCACCTCCCGTCTCTACAAATAATTGTTTTTAAGAAGGATAAAGAAGAGTTTGAAAAGAGAGACATCAAACTGTTAGTTATATTTACCTTAAAAAGGAGAGAAAGAACTGAGATTTTTACTTTCCTTTCTATAACTGTTAAACAATTAAAAATGGAAATATTATATGCAATTTTGTGAAAATAAAAATTTTAAAATAGGCCAGGCGCAGTGGCTCACGCCTGTAATCCCAGCACTCTGGAAACCAGAGGCAGGCGTATCACCTGAGGTCAGGAGTTTGAGGCCAGCCTGGCCAACATAGTGAAACCCTTTCTCTACTAAAAATACAAAAATTAGCCGGGTGTGGTGGCAGGCGCCTGTAATCCCAGCTGCTACTCAGGAAGCTGAGGCAGGAGAATCACTTGAACCCGGGAGGCAGAGGTTGCAGTGAGCTGAGATTGCGCCACTGCACTCCAGCCTGAGCGACAAAGTGAGACTCTGTCTCAAAAAAAATAAAAAATAAAAAATAAATCATCCTTATGAAAATACTTTTCAAAGACAAATGAAATAGACCCCAACAATGTCTACTCTAGCAAATTTTCAAAGTCATAATAAAAATAAAATAGGATGACTCGGTGGTGTTTTAGCTGGTACTTTTCCAGTTTTCCTTTTACAACATAATCAACAATGACTTCAAAAGGATTTCCCCCTCCTTCATGGAATATTACTACCTTCAACACGGCCTTTCAGATCCGGAGTTCAAAGCATAGTTAGCATTATAATTTCAGCAGAGAATCCAGAATTGGCAGGATATCACCAGTAGGGTGACTTTTTTTCTTTTCCCTAGCAAACAGTAGAGCAGTATGTAGTTTCTCCCCCCGCCCAGACGGAGTTTCGCTCTTTCTCCCAGGCTGGAGTACAGTGGCACGATCTCGGCTCCCTGCAACCTCCGCCTTCCGTTTTCAAGCTATTCTCCTTCCTCAGGCTGCCGAGTAGCTGGGATTACAGGCGCCCCCCACCACGCCAGGCTAATTTTTGTATTTTTAGTAGAGGCGAGGTTTCACCAAGTTGACCAGGCTGGTCCCGAACTCCTGACCTCGTGATCCGCCCGCCTCAGCCCCCAAAGTGTTGGGATTACAGGCGTGAGCCTCCGCGCCCGGCACAGTATGTAGTTTCTAACTACAATTTCAAAAACAAAAACAAAAAAACCCCCCCCGCCCCCGCAAAAAAAAACCTCAAAAAAAAAAATGTGACACATAAATACACAACCTTAACTGTGTATTTTACTGGGATTGTAGAAAGGTATCAAATGGGCATGCAAGTAAGGTCCTTACGGAGTAAGAAAACGCCCAATGAACAGTACTTAATATGAATTCGACATCGTTAACACTGAGCGCTTGCTGTGTGCCAGCGCGCAGCATAATTCGAAGCAGCATGACTTTGCACAATGACATATTCTACAAGTCCAGTTTCCTAAGGAGTGCCCTTAGGTTACATATAACCTAAACGTGAAATGTAGAAGTACATAAAGGAGGCATAAAGTTAAAGGGGAAAAATTATAAATACTAGAAAAAATTGCATTGTATTATTTTGATGGCTGAAAAATGGGCTCGACCCTGCATGCACGCGTTCTCCATTGAGCTCGACAATATGCAGTATTTTGTTTCACGTTATGTCGCAGTCTTAGGGAGGAGTGAAACGTGGAACACGACTTCACATCAAAAATGCACGTTGCAGAGGCATTTTTCCTTCGGGGACGCCGGAAGACTTCGCCACACGCGCGCCCTCTCCGCGGACACCAACGTGCTGACGCATGTTCATTAGCGAGCTGCTCCCTCCATTTTGTCCCCAGTCTCCTTTAGGCGAACTGCGCGGTTCTATGTTAAAGCCACTTAGTAATGAAACTATAAAAGGGAGGAAGTGGGGTGGGCGTGGGAGCCCCGTTTGCGCAAGGCAGGCGCGGGGGACTAAATGGCTGCTGGTGCAGAGTGGGGCTGCCCCGGCACCAAGGGCTCGTCCCGTGGCCGGAAGGACAAAGGACACTTAGGGGACGAGGGCCGCCGAGCCAGCGCGGAGCGCCTTCCGGGTCGGTGGGCTGGGGCGGGCTGGGGGCTGGGGCCGGGCCGACCCCCGCGGTGGGGCCCACCCCGCAGGACAAAGCAGCGGCCCCGCCCCTCGGCGCGCGCCCGAGGCTCGTGCGTGTGAGCACGCGCGCCGGAGACGGTTAGAAATGGCGGTTGGGGCGGAGCAGGGGGCTGGCGCGGGAAGCGGGGCTGTCTGGCTCGGTTACGCCCCCACCTCGCCAGGAATCTAGGAGTCGGTTTGTTTTCCGAACCCATCTCCTTCCGCTCTCCCGCCCCTGCAGGCTGTGTGCCGAGCTTGGAAGAAAGTGTGACCCGTTCGACGGAACAAAGGACATGACAGCCCGGCCCCGTGCGGCCACTGCGGAGCGTTAGGAACATTCCCTAAAATGGCGGCCGGCGCGTCGGAACAGGGCGGGAGGCGGCGGCGCGTGGGGGCGGGACGGGGAGGGGCGCGGCCAGCCGGGCTTCTGCTTCCGCGACCCCGGCGGTGCAGGGCGGGTGGAGTCGCGGAGTAGTCCTCATGGCCGCCCCGCCGGAGCCCGGTGAGCCCGAGGAGAGGAAGGTAACCTGGGGGTCGGCGGGGCGCGCGCCGCGGGTGGGCGGTGGGTAAGGACGTTCTCCGCGGAGCTCCTAGGCCCGGAGCACGTGTCACTGGCTTCTCTGCCACCCATGGGCTTGAAACTATTTTAACTGTTCCTAGTCCTTATCCCAAGCCTCCAACATTTTAATCTAAGTGGCCGGGACAAAATTGACCAAAACTAGGGGGAGGAGGGGACCAGTAGTACTAATGACTTACTACAGGTCATTATGAAATAAGCTAACAATACTGAATCTTTGGCGAGAAAATTTTGCTGCTAAGGGCACTGCACTGTAATTTGTTAGTAAAGGCTAATAGTAGAGATTAAAGCTCCGTTGAGGACAGGTGCCTTGTCTTTAACACGTTGTATTCATCACATTTAACATAGGAGTAATTGCTGAGGGATGACTTGATTGTACTACGATGAGATGAAGGGTTAAGATTTCTTCCCCATCACCAGTAGCCTCCCTAGCTGGTGTCCCTGTCTCCATACTCTCCTGAATCCACCTTCCACTATTGTCCGCTGGCCCTTTCCAGCCTGTAAACTGGACAGTTTTCATTCCTCTGCCTAACATCCAGTCGTAGCAGCCCATCCTATCTCTTTAAGGATAAAACCCAAATTCTTGGTATAGTAAAGCTAAACCAAGCGCTCTCCCTGGAAGGGCTCCTGTGTTTCACCAAAGCTGACTTACGTACTTTCCCCATCTTCCCAGGCATCTTGTACGTCGTTACATTTATCATATTGGAAGGTAATAAATGATCTTGTTTTCCTCTTTTCCTGGGCTCCTTATTAAGAGCAGGGAACCTAATTTATATCCTCAGGGCAGAACAGGTATTCAGAAAAGAATAATGCAAGAGGAAAAAAGTTTAATATAAACTAGGGAGATCGTAACATTGGCTAATCACGAGCAAATATTTATAGAAGACCCACTGTGTGCTAAATGGCTCCTAATATATACTTAAGATATTCTCCCAGCTTGGAAATTCTGCTCACTTCTTGCTCTTGCTTGCTTCTCTGGTGGGCTTCCATCCAAATTTGGCCATGACATCAGATCATATGGTTAATATTAACAAATATTGTATAAATTGTTTTCATACTTAATATCCAACAGGTTGTCAGTTTACGTACTACTGGTGCCTTATCTGTTTTTACTGTCCCATACACTGCCCATCTGGAATAAGCTTAGTGTTTAAAAAAAAAAAAAGATCTTTGCATACACACAGTAAATCCTAGATTCAGTTTTGTGATAAACACTGGAATCCTGAATGGGACTTTTGGTAGGAGATAACTGCTGTTTTTAAAGGTCATAAAGGTGGTTTAATCCATTGGAAATTAAAAAAAAAAAACTTAAAAGAGGATCAACATTGACCTATTTAACTGGCCCATCAGTAAGTAGCAAAACAATACTGTAGTTGTTGAAATGAAGATAGTTATAAGCCTCAAACCGAGCACAGTCAGAGGTGGGAGGCCAAAAAAACAAAAATTGCTCATGAAACAGTAGTACCTATCAGAGCCCATCAAAAAGCTAATTAAATTAATAGAAGCTATGATGAATTAACAGCCCAAGGTGCTGTCAGAAAGGAAGCCTGCGGTTATTTTTTTTAAAAGAATTTGTCAGTGATCATTCCAGCACAACCCAGGGAGGATTATTTTATTATAAGAATTAGCAAACCTAAAGTAAAAATGGGAGTTACCAAGCTGGCATACCTTGATAGAACTAGCCCCTAAAAACTGTCCTCTGCCACATTCTTGTCCTTTAAGAAACTTTAAAATGTGAAATTTGGTACATACAGGTAAATTCACATTCAGGTAAATTCTTAATTCACCCATTCAAAAAATATTTAGAGTACCTACTGAGTATTAGACACTGAACGAGGTACTAGACTGATCAAGACAGGAAAAATCCCTTTAAGGAGCTGACATTCTACTGGAGGAATCAATAAGCAAGACTTCTACTGAGCCAGTCATGCAAAGATCCAGGAGAAAGGCAGCATGTGTTCGTTCGGTAATAACCATCTCGGCTTGTTAGAATGGCAAGGCCACTGTACCTGGACTAGTGGACAAGAGTAGGATATGAAAGAGCATGGGATCATGTAGGGCCTTTGGAGCAATGGTAAGGATTCTGAGCATAATCGGAGGCTACAGAGGACTTATTATAGTCATCTGATACACATTTTTATGAGTAGAATCAAGATCTGAAAGGTACTGTTGATAGATGGTAATTTGATAGGACAGGTTGAGCTTCCCAATTCAAAAAAAAAATTGTCTTTTGATGTATCAGTTTCAGATTTGGGATGCTCAACCTGTATTAGCAATGAAGTTGGTGGGCAGTGGTCTGGCTCAGGATGTATTTAGAATGTGGATCCTTCCAGACTTGCTAATATATTTGATGTGGATTTGATGAAGGAATCAAGGATGACTCTTAGTTTTTGGGTCTGAAAATTGGTTGAGTAGTGTGCCATTAAGAGGAAGGTTTGGAGGTGAAAATATATTTTGCAAATACGAGGTTCAAGGTGCTTTTTATACATAAAAGTGTCATTCATTAAGCAGATGAATGAGGCTGAAGCTTGGGAGAGATTAGGGTTTGATTTAGAAATCTGGAGTCATCATATAATGGCATTTAATTGAAAGCCTTGGGATACCTAGGAAGAGACTAGATTCCAAAGGAGTTAAGAGTGGCACTTCAGAATCAGGTCTGTAGAGGAGGGAACAGCAACAAAAATGTCAATGAAATAGAAAACCAGGAGACGTATTTGAAGCCAAGTAAAAGTAAAAAAGTTTCAAAAACAAATGATAATTTGTGCCACATATGCTGAGATGCGGATTTAGACTGCAGTGGATGTCTTTTAGAGGTCTTGACTGGTGTCAAGTGAAGTTCAGTGGATAGATGCCTCACTCAAGTGAGTTAAAGGGAGAATGGGAGGTTTTAAGTAGAAAAGCACACCTACACTCAGAAGTTTTGCCCCAAAAGGATGGTGGTTTAGGTGGCTGATGAGAGGAGAGGGGTGTATAGAGGATTTTTGGGTTTTTTTTTTGAGATGGAGTCTTCTTGCTCTGTTGCCCAGGCTGGAGTGCAGTGGTGCCATCTTGGCTCACTGCAACCTCCGCCTCCTGGGCTCAAGCGATTCTGCCTCAGCCTCCCGAGTAGCTGGGATTACAGGCATGTGCTACCATTCCTGGCTAATTTTTGTACTTTTAGTAGAGACAGGGTTTTGCCATGTTGGCCAGGCTGGTCTCGAACTTCCGACCTCAAGTGATCCACCCACTTTGGCCTCCCAAAGTGCTGGGATGACGGGTGAGCCACTGCACCTGGCCAAGAGGGCTGATAGTAAATTATTGCAAGTGAAAAAACTAACGATGCAAATGAAAGGGGTAGCTATAGAAGCCAAGCCCTTGAGTATGCAAGAGGGGAATCAAGTGCCCAAGTGGGAAGACTAGCATTAGATAGGAATAGGGCCAATTCATCCTTTGCAACCAGAGGAAAGAAATACGGGCACTGAAGCAGATTTAGTGGTGGAAAATCAACTGTCTCTAATTTGATCAGATCTATTTCTATACATTATTGACATTCTGGCTTGGAAATCTCTTGAGCTTTCCTTAGATTGATCAGGGTGAGCTGGTAAAGCTGCTTTTCTAAATCTAAGCTTAAAAAATGTCTGACATTTCCTTAATTTATTTTTAAGGGTTCCCGTTTGTTAGTGGCAAAGAGTTAAATCTTAAGTATGCAGGCTACTTAAGGAATAGAAGAGAAATGTTAAAGGCATGTATATTATGAACAGAATATTTCCGTATATAAATAGAATACTTCAAAGGGAGTTATGCCCGGGATCCTTTATTCATCTCCACTTCTGAGCATTTTACAGTTCAGTGTACTTAACTGTAAAGGTATACAGGCTCAAGTCGTTGCATATTCTTCCTGTTTTGATAGAAATTGCAGGGATTTATGTACTGAATCTTATTACTCCTTAGATATGTGACAACTGGAAAGCTCCCCACCAAACCCTCCAGCCTTGGTTACTTCTTAATGATGTGGTTTGGCACAATGAAAATGTCATAGGCTTTGTGGTGAAACTGACTTCTGCCTCCACTCCTGCCAACACTTATTATTAGCCTCTTAAGTCCCCGAGCCTGTTTCAGAGGTAATCTCACACAAAGGCTAGAGAATTAAAAAACATGTAGAGAGCCTGGCACTAATACCTACCTCCCCCACCAGCAGCTCTTAATTATGAGATCAACCACTATTATTTTAGACCAGAGTTTTGTTGGGGATTGGGTTTGTTTCAGAAGGCACTATTTTAAATAAGATGTGTAGCTTCTATTTAGATATTTGCCTTTAAAGTCAGCTGAGCTATTTTCCTATTGTTTGCAAATTTACTTTTATTTAAAAAAATAAAATTTCCTAAAGCAGTGTTTCCCCAATATGACAGTCATCAGAAAAAACCACCTAGAGTTTTCTAAACATAGATTCCAGTGATTGTAAATCAGAATCTGAGAGTGGGACTAGAAAATACTTAATTCTATCCTGTGGTACAAGCTGGTCTCACACTTGCATCTTTGCACCTAAGACTAGATCAAACTGGTACTAATCCTCTGGCCCCAGCATCCCATCCTTGGGGAAATAGTCTAGTTTAGAGGTAGTCCTGGACTGGAGCGCTAAGTCCAGCATTCCTCACCTGCATAACACTACCCACATGATCATATGTCCCCTGGGCTCTCAAGCTGATAGGAAAAAGTCGTCTTGCTAAATGAAATCCCCCAACCTCTTGGTAATGTGAAGAACTGTACTGCAAAGCTTTGAAGCAATCCTATGTTAGGCATGCGGGTGGGAACGGGGCCAGACAGAGGGAAAAAATGGAATAGAATGATCCGAGAGTAAATAATTCTTGCTTTATTATGAACCAAGTCACATTTTGTCTCTTCCAACAGATGCTTGAGCCAAAAAAGCAAACATAGGCAGAAATACAATTGAGAATATCTTCATGTTTCAACCTTTAATCTGACTTGCCTTTTACTATCCTTTCCCCATTTCTTCTAATCTCTTTTGCCTTACAATATATTACCTTCTAGGTATCACCTCATCCTATAGAATCCCTTCTAGTTTAATGTCCTGCCCCAAACAATACTAACCCATTGAAGATAACTATGAAACCTTTAAATGGACAGTGGTTCCTTTTAAAAGCAGCCTTACTGAAAATTTTATATACACTTAAATCAAGTAACAGTTACCGTGAGTTTTCTAAACTTTTGTGTTAACAGAAATGCCAGTTCAGCAGTGTGACTGTTACTTTTAAATGTCTGTCTTGCCGCCCTAGAGTGACAGACATCCCAGTTAAACATATTAGGAATAAGAAATACATAAATCCAATGAAGACTGTAGAAAAAGAATTTTAGCACTTGAAGGAACTTCAGTCATTTAACCCAACCCATTCATGTTATAGATTGAGACCATAGAAATAAAAGTAGCCTATAGGATACAAAAGTTAGCGGCAGATCTGAGATAAAAATCCAGCTCTTTGGATCCCCGCGTTTTTCACCACACTTAGCTGTCGTTCCCATGTATTACGAACAAAGAATCAAATATAATCAAGTGCAGCCTCACTTCACAGGCAAGAAAACAGACTAGAGTTTAATATATTGCCCATGTTTATCTTAAGGTGAAACATTTACTCTTACAACCACAGTTGATGTTAACCTAGTTAATAAAATATGAAAGGTAATTACTAGGGGAATTTTAAACGGCACTACATAAGCAAACATGACTCAAATTACTTTTTCCATTTCTGCTTCCCAAATTATTGGAGTTACTGAAGCAAGCTATGCTGCTTTCAATTCCAATGATAGGCATATTCCCAAATAAACTCATTTAAAGAGCTCATAAAATGAATTATCCTATTTCCAAGTCAGTTGATTAGCAAATTAAGATACAGCTCCAAGTTACCCTACTGCTTAAGGGTTTTCCGGTCCAATTTGTAAGGTTTTCGGATTTAAAGATTCAGACTGCATACCAAAGGTGGACAAAGACAACGCAAGCTGATTTAGGTTGTCACGTGGCACATACTCTAGTTTAAACCCTCAACTACAAGAAAAGAAATGGTGTATTGTCATTTTTGCCAAAGCACCCCAAAATGAAATACTTTCTTACTCAATCTAGGTTCTTTTTTTTCATTCTAGTCCCTTAAGCTCCTAGGATTTTTAGATGTTGAAAATACTCCCTGCGCCCGGCATTCAATATTGTATGGTTCATTAGGATCTGTTGTGGCTGGCTTTGGACATTTTTTGTTCACTAGTGAGTATCTGTATTTTTTATTTCTCTATGTACTAAAAAAAGCATTTCTCTACATAATGAACTATTTTTTTTTCTAGGTGGAGTAATGTATATAACGTAATTATATTCTAATTAATTGTTATGCTTATTTTTACAGGTAGAATTAGAAGATCATGTGATGTTGGAGTAGGAGGGTTTATCTTGGTGACTTTGGGATGCTGGTATGTTTGCTAAGTATTCAAGAACATCCATGATTATAGTAGGTTATCTAATTCAAAAAGCACATGCTCTTTTCAGAGCAGTCTCCCATTGGGAGATCCTCACCCTCAATGAAGAATCTTGATTTTTCAGGACATTTTCATGGAAATCTTAAAATGCTTGAACAGATAAATGCATATTAGACATCCCATTAAAAAGAAAGCTGTGGTTTTTACACTTCACTTAGGAAAGCCTCAACCATTTCCCTTACCCTAATACTTATTTCATCCCTGCTTATTCATATCTGAAAATGCTACTTTAAGAATGTGTTTACAACTACTGATGAGTGAATATAAAATATGGATGAACCTCAAATATTTGCCAGACCTAAGAGTATGATATGTATGTACTATATGGTTCCATTTATACATGAATTTCTACAGTGAGCTATTTAAGGTGGTAGAAATCATTTTATGTAGACATAGCATTATTATCCCGTTAAAAACGAGAGCAAATACTTGTTTCTTATAATAGCCAATGCTATCAGAAGACTTAAAAACTAATGGATTTTATCACTTTACAAATTGTTATGTAGACATCCTTTTTTTCCTAATAAAAAAAGAATGTGTTGATAGGTATTCTGACACCAAAACTGCCCAAAAATAGCACTATAAATTAGAACATATTTTTCAGTCTCAGGGTAGTAGTCATCTGTATTTAAGTTTTGTGTGATTTAGAGAAATTTCATAAATTAATTTCTGTAGGACTTTATATTAACAATTTATTCATATTCTTTTCTTCTAAGGTTTCATTGTAGGTATAATTATGCAAAGCAAAGAATCCAGGAAAGAATTGCCAGAGAAGAAATTAAAAAGAAGATATTATATGAAGGTACCCACCTCGATCCTGAAAGAAAACACAACGGCAGCAGCAGCAATTGAACAATCTTGAGCATAGAAGTCAATGTAAACGAAGTTAAGATCAACCACATAAAACATTTCATGTGCAATAAGCTCTCAATCAAGTAAATAAAGTTTAAGTTGTAGTCATTTTTTTCCCACACTTGTGTGGAATGAAAACTTGCCAGTTTATTCTGGCCCTGTGTCTACTGCCAGGATAGCATTCTTACGTGTTACATATAGTGGACTTGTCATCCTTAAAATGTGAACAGAATTTATTGGCAGTGTGGCAAAGAATTATAAAACATAGTGTTTAATGTACTTGGAGTTTCCTTGTAGTAGTAAGTATAGAGTTTGATGATAAGTAAACGTCCCTTAACAAAAACCTCAACCTTATTACTATCCCATTAAAAAACAGCAAATACTTACTGAGTTCTTGTAAGAGCTAATGTCATTGTAAGATTTAAAACTAAGGGCTTTTATCACTTTGCAAATTATTTTTTAAATGCATTCATCATTTGACAGTGTTCTCTCATTTCTTAAAATGCGAGTCATCTTCCAAAAGAGTTGTTTTTAACTGCCCTAAACATTTTTGGGGAAGTATGCAGGGTTTAAATTTTTAAGTATAATTAGTTCTGAATTAAAATATGCACATGGAACTTGTCTGGCAGACTGATGCAATAGTAAAACAACTGCAGAATTACTATTAATGTAAACAATCCATTTGAAAGTCAATCAGCTGCTCCCATTAAAATATTATTTAAAATACAATACCCACAGCATCTAACTAAATCCTCAGGATTTATTCTCCGGGAGAAATTATCCCTTTCTAGGAAAATGAAGTTATTTCTGGTTTTAATTCATACAATACTTTAAGAAAATCTGTTAAATATAACAAAACACAAGCTAGATGCTTAAGAAATGCTTAAAGAAATATTGGGGCGAAGGTAACAGCAGTCAACAGGATTGTGGCCATTACTGGTCCTATTATTTTGATGTACCATGGAAGGCACAGAAATCGAGCAAGGAAGAAAATATTAGTTATTTTGATCTACATCTTTTTCTAAAGAAAAGTGGAGCTTGCCTCCAGTTCAATTCACAAGAGCATTTTCCCTCCCATGCCCACCTTTTCTTGTGGCTGTCGCTAGGAAGGATGCAGAGGCTGTGTGGTTTACCAAATGCCTTAACTTAGCAGTGAATGACAACTGTCAAACACATGTTGAGGGAAAATTTTTACTGATTCACAAAAAGGAAGACAGTTTGCCCACTCTTAGTGGCACAAATCAAAGCTGCATGCACTACATTATCCAAATTAGTCGTAACCAAATAGTTAAAAAATTCTGCTGGGCACGGTGGCTCATACCTGTAATCCCAGCACTTTGGGAGGCCGAGGCAGTTGGATCACCTGAGGTTAGGAGTTTGAGACCAGCCTGGCCAACAGGGTGAAACCCTGTCTCGTCTAAAAATACAAAAATTAGCCGGGCGTGGTGGTGCATGCCTGTAGTCCCAGGTACTCAGGAGGCTGAGGCAGGAGAATCACTTGAACCCGAGGTGGGGCAGGCGGAGGTTGCAGTAAGCCAAGATCGCGCCATTGCACTCTAGCCTAGGTGACAGAGTGAGACTCCATCTCAAAAAAAAAAAAAAATTCCATAGGATGTTCAACCATGTTTTCAGAGGCCGCACTGCATGAATGCGGGAAAATGTTGATGATCACTAATCAATAATCTGATATTTAACAAAATATGGACAGGCCACTTATGCTCAGTTTTACCTTAGTTATTCCTTGGTATCCACAGGCCCAAGTCCCTTTAAATAAAATACCCTCATATTTCCATATAATCTACATACATTCTCCCATATACTTTAAATCATCTCTAGATTACTTATAATGTCTAATACAAAATAAATGCTATGTAAATGTAATTATTATACTGTGTATTTTTGTTGTTGTTCTTCATTGTTATTTTTTGTCTTTTTACCTCCAGTATTTTCAACCCACAGTTGGTTGAATCCAAGGATGCAGAACTGGAGGACATGGAGGGCTGACGTGTAACATACATAACATATAAAACAGGTCCCTTCCAGCGCTAGCACACTGCAATTACATCTTACCCTGAATAAGAGAGAAACTCTGTTTTGGCTGGTAAAATTTCCAATGTCTTCACCAATAACAAAGCTCATTTTCACAGAAGTTTGCATAAACTGGAAACCTGGATAAAAACAAAGTTGTAACATATTTGGTTGGATTATTTTTTAAATGTTTCATGTATTTACATGATCACTAATAATTTTTATTCTTATGCTATTAAGATTTTACAAGTGTATTAATAAATTACCAAAGTCTGTAACACCCACCCTCAATAAGGAGAGACTGGTAGAACGAAAGTCTCTCCTATCAATGTCTACCCTACCATCCAACTTCACGTCCAAACTATTTAGTTTTTTGCCAAACCTTCAATGCACTATGACCTTTTTTTTTTCTCTCTTGAGATGGAGTTTCACTCTCGTCGCCCAGGCTGGAGTACAATGGCGTGATCTCGGCTCACTGTAACCTCCACCTCCCAGGTTCAAGCGATTCTCCTGCCTCAGCCCCCCAAGTAGCTGGGATTGCAGGTGCGTGCCACCACGTCTGGCTAATTTTTGTATTTTTAGTAGAGAGGGTTTCACCATGTTGGCCAGGCTGGTCTCGAACTCCTGACCTCAGGTGATCCGCCTGCCTCGGCCTCCCAAAGTGCTGGGATTACAGGCGTGAGCCACCATGCCCAGTGCACTATGACCTTTATACCATATCCATGCTGCCACTCCCAACTTTTTCATTTCATTTGGAATGCCTTTTTTACCTCCTCTCTGTAACTTTCCATTCTTTTGCTCACTAGCTTCTGGGAATTACAATCACCTTTTCATTTAAGTTCTCACTATTTTGTGTCTTATAATAGTTGGTGCTTTTCTTGGTCACCAGTATTTGGTACAATCACATACAGCCTAAGTTTCTCATTGGCAAAAACCTTGGCCATTTTTATCTTTACATTCTCATCCAAGTATCTGGCACAAGATAGTCAATAAATGCTAGACAAAAAGAAACAGTCCAGGTTCCTGGCCAGGTGCGGTGGCTCACGCCTGTAATCCCAGCACTTTGGGAGGCCAAGGCAGGCAGATCACACGGTTAGAAGTTCGAGACCAGCCTGGCCAACCATGGTGAAACCCCGCCTGTACTAAAAAAAAAAAAATACAAAAATTAGCCTGGCATGGTGGTGTGCAACTGTAATCCCAGCTACTCAGGAGGCTGAAGCAGGAGAATTGCTTGAACCCGAGAGGTGGAGGTTGCAGTGAGCCAAGATCACGTCACTACACTCCAGCCTTGGCGACAGAGCCAGACTCGTCTCAAAAAAAAATAAAAATAGTCCAGGTTCCCCTTCCCCTCTATCCAGACTTTCACACTTTACAATTTCAAACTTTAAGAGTAACCTACCTTCCATGACCACCTGGAACCTCCAGTGTACAGCTTCCTTCATTGTTCCATTAATTCCGAAATGTCACACTAGGTGATATAGCAGTAGGTACCAGCTAAATAGCTGATTAAAATAGAATTATGGTTATTAGTAGTCTTAAAAACTTCTTGTGGCTTATCTATCATACCTACTTTTAAAAAATCTTTAAGTGCTTTATGCACTTTCCCCTTCCCTCACCCCTCCCTCTTTGGTTTTCCTTGACTGTTTGTGCTTTTCCATCTCAGTAAAAGGACCTCGGGGAATTTAAAATTAACTAGCTCTTCTCTGGACTTGTGATTATATTGTCTGAGTTTGGCAACAAGAAAATGTGACTATCCCTAGGTACCATCATTTGCAAGCATCTCTTTAGTCTACGTACCTCTACTCCATCGCTGGTTTCCCTTTGCTTCGATTATATAATGCGAGGAGGTCTATATAATAAATTCAGGATTCCTGTTTATGCACTTTTCAGCAAAGAGCTAGGGATCAAATAGGGTTTCAATCCTTCTATTCATAGATAAAAATCTGTGATGGGGATCAAGATACCCCTTTAAAAGTCATGTTAAGATATACACTATTCTTTGGGTAAGCAGAAGACCTTAACAAGGAAAGTAGAAAAATTAAAATGATTGCTGTAATTCTGATTTTTAGTGGTCCTCTAGAATAAAATAAGTTTTGGAAGTAGGTATCTTAAAATAGTCCAGTAGTCATCAACCCAGGTCAATATAATATACCAATATCCTCCACCACCCAAATACTGGTATTTTACACAACTTATTTTGCACATTAAGTTCCATTTTAAAATGTTTTAAAATGTTTTCTTAAAAAGGAAGCTGTTAGAACAAAAAAATTATGAAGATGGTTTTCAAAGTATTACATTTAAAGTTCATAATGTGAGCACTACAGATGTTTTACAAATATTTTTCAGTGCTTTCAACCGTTGCATTTGCCGTACGCTTCCATGTTCTAGAATAAGGACATTTTTATGTTGAGAAGGCTACACTGATTACATTAATAGGCAAATACTAATTCTGAGAGAGGTTTCTATTGTTCACTTTAGAAAAATGTAGGTCAATGTAATGGGTGATATCTGTTCTTAATTATTCTAAGAATTAAATCCTGTATGTTATCAGTCACCTATTATATGGCACACCCTCAGGGGGTATCAATCATTCTTTGCATATACTGGTTTCTTAAAGGGTAAGTTTCCATAGAAATGTTTCTTCATTTGACTTCTACCCTGAAGTCATGTGAAATAAAACATATATGCCTTACCATCTAAATTCAAAGCTTATTTTTGAAATGAATGTTTCCTTTTCTGTAATTTTATGATTTTTCTCAAATGAACAGAAATGGTAATGAAACCACAAGTTGCCTACTCTTTCGAAACCATTAAATTGCTTTATTTGTGAGTAGACCCATATTTCATTAAGCAAACTCTGATAGCTACGTCTAGAATCAGAAGAGCCCAAGCCCTCTCATTTCACCGAAAGACATTCTGGAGCGTATAGTGGGGAAAATAAATTTCCTCTGAAGTCTTTTTCAGGGAAATGGAAAATTACATATTCTGGACTGATACAACCAAAACTCACACAAGCTCTCCCATTCCTTCAGTCTTGAATTTACTTCCTAGTTGATTTTATATACTTCAATATATGAACTAATCACTTCATTATCCAAAAGGATGTCAAGCTATTTTCCAAATTTTCATAAGCTAGTAAAAATATGTATTTCTGAATTTAGTAGAAATGAAAAAGATTTTGGGCAACCAAGGACAGAAAGGTCTCCTATGCACTGTTTTACATTAGAACATTGTAAGGAAGTACTTACACTCTACCAAGTAGGGTGGATATCAAAACAAATGTATTGCCAAAAGTTAAAAGATGAAATCAGAAAAATGATCTAACTTTGAAAAGACTCAGGTCTATTTTCACATACACCTGTAAACCTAAGCAAGAGGACTGCCAATTGCTAAGAGCACACAGAATACACACTTCACCTCAGATATGCAAGAGAAAACACCCTTTTTTTTCTGTTACAGAGACTCTGTCCATCTGATTACCAATTACTCTCTTCCCCCATCTTTTAAAAAGAGTCCTATTTAAAGTGATTCTGGAAGCCTAACATAACTATTAAATGTACAAGCAGCAATTAATTTGGAATACCTATTGGAATCACTGGAACATTTAGTTGGGCCCTTTAACTCTTCCACACAGCACATTCACATGGACAGACTAAGGAAAAGGAGATGAAATGTAAATCAACACATTTGTTTGCTTTACTTTTCAAGAAAAAAAAAAAAAGTTATGTTGGAATCTTTTTTTCTTGTACGTGACCATGACTCTCCCAATCTTTAACTACAAACAACTGATACAGGATACAAGCTGCCTCAAAAAATTCCTTTGTTAGTTGACATTTAAATAAGCCCCAATAACTCTTTAGGTATCTCTATATATGCTTTAACTTTTATAGCATTAATGTCACACTTATAAACTGGTGTCTGTACTAGCCACGTCTATTCTTGGTGTTTTAAAATTTTTAAAAATGTCTTGGCTGTCACCAATTTGTGGCAATGCTTTAAGTGTTTGCAACGTATATTTTACCAGACATAACTTATTTTACTTCCTGTAAGGTTCAGAATGGAACTGTTAAAGGAATAGCAGGAAAGAATATGCCCCAATAGTGCAGCACTTCTCTGTCAGATGTAACTCTCCAGCCTGTGATCTCTGCATTATCCTTCATTAATGTAGACAGACTGGACATGCTCATGAGTAACTATGTCATTGGCACAGTATGGTGATCATAATGGTGCAAAAAAACCCTGAATCTTTATAGAAGACATTTCTCTAGAGACTAGCCTACATTGACATTTACTTCACTTTCAACTACAGTACATAGCTTCTTATGCCCAGGATTCAGCTTTAAAAGCAAAGCCCCTGCTCAAGACCTAAGTATATGCTGAATCCTGGCATGAAAAATAAAGTATCCTAATCAATAAAAATTAGGTAGCTACAAATTGACATGATTACAATCCCTGTCCTAATTACTTGCCTAACCAAGTAGTGATTACTGATGTCCTGGCCCATCATCAACATGTTTGCCTACCAACACTAGGCTTACAATCAATAGATTCTACTACATAGGTGTTATATTTTCTGAATAATTCTAGGTTAACATTATGAATATCCATTATGAATATCCATTATGAATAACCCATCTATCTATGTCCAATCTACTATCCCTTAAAACTATTATTAAAGACTCCTGGGGCAACTAATGAAAATTACTTCAATCATTTATATTTTTAGTCAATTGGTTAGGATGTGAAAGCATAGTCCTGCTCAATAATGTAAGCATATCATCTATTTCCCACCTAACCTCTTTTCTGAGACTGTGCTATTTCTGCATGACTTGAGATTGACATAAGTGTGACGCCAAATAAACTAGCACACATATTAAGCTAAACATAATGAAAACTAAATATTAAGATGAATTGTTTCTGTTCAATTTCAAAAATATACCCTTGGGGACCCCTGGTTTTTCATCTACTCCAACACACTCAAGAGATATATACTACATTAGTAGTATAGCTCACTTCCAAATTCTCAAGGGCTTATTCTAATTAACAAGTTTAGTAACAAAGGTTAGTAAGACAAAGGTCACTCCAACATGAGTTAGCTGGACAAAGTACTTTTAATGCTTATTTTACAAATATGTACCTGTGGTGCTAATACTAGGCAAAGAAAACAGGACGATTCAAGAGCAGCCTATGTAACTACCAACTCAAGCACTAACACTAGCTAGATCACCTTCATGCTTTAAAATTTAAAGTTATGGAGTAGCTGTGCCCACACCCCCCCCCAAAAAAAAGCTTTAATAAAGGCACTGCAGCGTTAACTAAGTTTTAGGGTAAATTTAGGCAATTAACAATTCGAAGAGACTTGTGGTTTATGTATTAGTAATTCAAATTACTGTTTTAGAGATCTCAGGTAGTTAACCAATTCTTGCTCAAAGCACTAATGTTCAGTCCCTCACCATTTATGCTGGGTATGAGTCCCAATGCATGGGTATTGCAACCTATTGTCAGGCCTTAACATGTATGTGTTTGCTTTTATTATTACTAAAATGTTAAAACTTAAACCCAATTATTCACCAAACTCTGAACACCTCAACCTCAGAGCTCCAGAATTAGGAATGAATGACAAAGTTTAGACTCTAATCATTTTAAGAATGTTAGGTGGGAAGAAATGGCTTCAGATGCAGTATTGTGTTCATCTTTCCAGGGGAACATCTCAAATGGGTATTCTGAAGCAGGTTGAGAAGTAGATAAAATTCTCTGCTACAAGTTCCATCCACTTTTTTTTTTTCAAGAGACCAGGTCTCACTATGTTGCCCAGGATGGTCTCAAACTCCTGAGCTCAAGTGATCCTCCCGCCTTGGCCTCCCAAAGTGCTAGGATTACAGGCGTGAGCCACCACACCCAGCCAAGTTCCATCCACTTTTGAAAACAAGACATTTATGTATAGGAAGAGAATTATGGAAACACTTTGTAAAACATCCATTTATTATATCCAATGCTAAACACTACCACTTGGACTCTAAGATATGTTTATGCCTCTCTGTTTATTCTAGTTTTTTAAAAATCAAATATACAAGATCTACAATTATTTATATCCAAGATGTCTACACCACTGCCTAAGAAGCTATTAAAATATTTGTATTTGTGCAATGGAACCCATTATTCACATGGTCCTAGAATAAAAAGTCAATTTATATTGTGAATAAATTTATCAAAAAACATGTCATCCAATTCCCACAAATGAGACATTTTAAATACAGAATACACTCTGTTCATGAATATAAAATCCCCAGGTGAAAGTCCCTTAAAACACTATTATGGTTATGTTTCCTAGAATAATTTTATAACTTTTTCAGAGAATTCCTTTAAACTTGTTAAAATACCTTGTTGCTAGTGCTCAGAACATCTAGGTTCAGTCTTTATTTTTAAGACAGTATCTATCCTAGGCAAATGAGAGCTTGTTTTTATGTATTTAAGAGTTTCCTCTTGTCATTTCAATGTCAAATTGATTTGACTCAATTTCATGATTTCATCTCGCTCAAGGCCATCAACCGGTCAGAGCCAGAGCCCTTCAAAGGCTGTATGTGAGTATATGAGGGAAAACTTTCCACATAATTTTACATCATTTCTATCTCATAGCAGTTTTAGTTTTCTCATAGCTATCTCATAGCAGTTTTAGTTTTCTCAAATTCTATGCTGTTTTTGTACTACTGCAGCTGACCAATCCAAAGCCAGTTTACACTCAGCATGTGTTATTCTACTTTAAAATATAACCTTAGTGAAAGCACCCTTCAAATCAACAGCAATCTCACAGTGAGTTTCCTCTGGGTAGTCAGGATTTGTCCAGAACTACATCCTTTTCAGATGTTCAGAGTTTTGCTTGCCATTAGGGAGGCAAGGGAAGGATGAGCAATAAATCAGGTTTCTCGTTCGTATCTTACTTCTTACCTAATTTTCTCCCTGTTGCTTATTTGGTACATTCCCTTCTCTGAATTCCTTAAACACTTTATAAGGTTATTTCTGCCATACAAGTGTAGACAATTGTATTAATTCTAGTCTTGACTAAAGATTTTAACATTTTTCTGGGTGCCATTTTTATCTATTCTCTCTCCCCCCAAATTCTCTGGGCTAAACAGGCATGATAGTCTACCTAGTGTTACTTGACCATTACTTTCCCACTGCAATTATAAAATGAATTCCTTAATAAGCAATTTTAAACTAGAAGATATATCCAAAACTTTTTAAAGGCACAAAGGACAACTTTAGGACACAACACTGATTAGCATCAAAACCTGAAACTGTTCCTCTAGTAAGTCTATGCAATCCTAATAATGTATACTGAAGAGTAGTAGCTCAGGCCAGTGGTTCTTAGCATTACTTGCTAAAAAAGATAAAAATCCATGACACTATCTTCAACTGTTAAATATCTTATGTTAACTAAGGATTTGCCTGTTCCAAAAATGTCTCAACTGAACCTATACATCACCTAAACTCCAGCTTATAGCAAGAAAATTCCTTAGAAGTATGAATTCATATTTATGATCTGATTTTAAAGGGCTAAAACAAAATTCTAAGCAATCAGAAATATAGCAAACCTAAACTTACCAAAGCAACCTAAAAACACCAAGGAAACGCTAGACTGAAGTCAAATTTTAGTTCTACAGTTTGACTCCTGATTCCTCACTTCACATTGGTGAGGGGAAGATTAAAGTGTTCTGTGCAAACCCAATATAATTACAATTAGGGGATCTAATGTTATTACATAGCTACAGTCAAGTTAGCAGTGTTGTGTAGCAGTGACATCAATGACTGGCTTGCATGATGGCTTCTAAAAGCATCTGATCCCAGAGTTTCATGTATCATATATATGTATATAAAATAATCAGTTGAGGACAGCATTAGCATTCTGTAAAGATGATAAACTCAGTGTTAACTTCTCCCAGCCAGTACCTTTTCCCCTCATTAAATATGTTAAAAGTTGTCTGGGGGGGAGGGGAAGGGAAGAATTCAACTTTACTTCATAATTATGTATCAATTGTCAGTATACATTTAAGTTTTTAAAACCTAAATGTTCTATGCAGAGTAAAGAATAAGCTGTCCAGAAAGCACACACTTAATAAATTTCTCCTCTTGGGAGTTATATAAAGGGATTTTGAACCTTGATGGCGAGAATCCCAAAACAAGAGTAAAATGAATTCTTTTTATTGCAAACAAACGTCTAAATTAATTTCTCCACCCACTTTCTTTAGAAAGAAAAAGAAATCAGCAGGCTAAGGAGATACCCATTCAAGAACTGACATGATTAAAAATTAAGATATAAATGGGTGACTCACAATTTCATTAGCTTACAAAGATGGTGGAGTTAACTACTACAAGCACACTAGTTATACAGTATTTTGTGGGAGAAGGGCATACAGACATGGCTAACTTCATATAGATCCCATTAGACAACTGGATTTACAACAAGTTTTTTTAATAAGAAATGGGCAAAGCCAGCTTTCTTTTCAGAATCAAAATGCAGAACAAATGGAAAAATTATGGTATTAACCTTCACAAGTTTGAGCCTCCACAAATAATGCAACCAAGTTTTACATTTTTAACAGCCCTTCTACATACACTCCATCTTCTCTATCTTAGTTCCAAGTTTTAGTTTTCAATCCCAATTATACCAATTCCATTGTTATTTTAAGAAAAAACCTTCCCAGTTATTGTCAGAAACTATGATTTAGCTTACCCCCTCCACTACCCAGCAAACTACAGAGAGGATGGAGTGTAATATGAGCAGTACAGAGTCTTAATGCAATTCATGAGGACCACTTAGTCCTTACATGAATCTGGTTGCTAACATTTCTATTATATTGTGACAATGACTCCCGACTGTTATTCTCTGTGAGAAATGGGGGGAGTAAATTCTTAATAAAAGACACCAGGTACAAAGCAACATTTTACTTCTGTTGTGATAAAAAAAAAAAAAAGTCACATTTTACAGATAAAATGTAGAACCCTGAAATACTGACACATTCTCTTATCGTGCACAATGCTGAGGTTCTCTTACGATTCACTTTTAAACTGCAATTAAAAATGTACAAAAAAGAAAAGAAAAAAAATCAACCCACAAAGCTTCTAAAAAAGGAACCCGCAGGCACTTCCTCTTGTGGAATGTTTAAAAAGTTAGCCTACTAAAGAAAACAGTCGACTTCTTGTGAAGGTTTTGGAGAAATATGTATCAGTTCGTTTTATTTGGGTATTCAATAATATCCTTGGTGATAATGCTGACTCCATGGCTTCTGACCCCAGAATTGCTGTAAGAGAAAATTTTGTTTTTAAAGAAAAAACATCAATAAGCCACTCAAACTGTTTTTAGGAAATGACAATGAATCTAATTCAGAGTAATTTGCTGGAAACAAATTTATACCTGTCATACCTCTGATTTCTACCAAACCAGATTTAGTTTTAATATCCCATAATTATCAATACACATTACAAAACGAAACATCATGACTTTGTTAGTTTACACAATTAAAGCTAGCAGTAAAAGAACTGTATATATTAAATAATATTACTTTATTAAAAAAATTTAACTTATAGCAATCTTCAACCTATTTTGCCTTCAAAAGGTAGATTATGGCTACTACTGCAAGACGATTCACACTTTACCCTATTAACACTTATAAACACTTCAATCCCTGAACAAGATCTTTTTCAAGACTGATAAATCTTAGGAACTCAAAATACAATTAATGTACATAAAGCACATAAGAAATTACTTACACCCTGCTGCCACTGGTTGTAGCCCTGAGATTGATTTTTGTAGCCACGATTGTTTCCTCGTCCTCTGAAGTTCTACAAAAAGGAAATACTCTCTAAGAGCTCTGAGCCCAATTGCTTGTTAGGTTTGTGGGGGTGAGAGAGAGGAGCAGAAATGGACAGGTTGCTAGCCCCTAATCTTAGGTAGCAAGCAATACACAAATTCTGGATACCCTCTGCTGGTTTCTTATGTTTTAATTTTTTATTCATTATGAGAAATGCATCTGACTTGTTTAGTACACCTGAAAAAACTCAAAAGTAAGTAGACTCATTTCACCATTACTAGTTCAATTTTCCTTATGTCAATGCCTATCATGTTCCTTACGGATTACTAAGACACCCCAACATAAAGCTCACACCTTTCCAGACTAAGCTACAGTTATCAATCATGCTTCCAGGGATCTTGAATCATTACCTGGTTGTAGTTCCCTCTGTTGGGCATTCCACCTCTGTTGTAGTTCCCTCTGTTTGAGTAACTACCACGGCCAGGAAAAACAGGGGCACGAGGGTATGGATAGCCGATTCCACCACTTCCTCCACCGCCACCACCTCTCTGTGGCATGTTGCCCCTCCTATTATATCCGCCACGATTCCCAGGGGCTAAAAGACAAGAGCTGTTTTAGTTTCATTGTATATTGTACCCTACTTATACAGAAGACTTAGGATTCCTCTAGATTGTTCCTTTTTCTCCAAAAATAATTGTTTAAAGACAAAAGAAATGTTTAATTCTAACCATTAACATAACCTAGGTGTATTTAATATCAAATCACATGAATACTTTAGTTACTGTGACAGTATACCATTAATGAGGAAGAAACTTCAGCTACATCCAAACTATAAAATTATCACTTGTTTCGATCCTGAACTAAATACAGAACACTCAAAATTAACTTGCCTCCTCCTCTGAAATTTCCACCACGCATATTGAATCCTCCACGTCCTCTATGGCCACCACCTCTGTTAAACTGGTTCTTGCCACTCTTATTTTTATTGCTTTTCTTTGAGCCAGTGTTCTGTTTCTTTTCTGGTGGAAGAGCCTTTTTGCTTTCTTCCTTATATTGCTCCAAGAGTTTTTGGGCTTCTTCCTTCTGAAGTTCAACATAGGTTATTTCATCAAAGCACTCAGCTACCTCTGGGAGGGTAAAGTTTCCTGCAGGAAACAAAGTCATATTATTAATTTAGAAACCCACCACGAATCCTCACAATCCTAAAGCTGACAATTCTTGAGGTTTAGTAACATATTTTCCTAAAAATAAAAACAGACCAAACATATATGCATATGTAACAACTGCAATTTTAATTCCTGAAGCAGTATTGCTGGAAAAAATGTTAACTTTCAGGAGGCCTAAGTCCTAATAGATTTAACATAGTTACACAAGCAGAATATGTAGGAAAAACATTCTTTTAAAAAGAAGATTTCACACAGTAACAGAATTAAAATTCCATGCCTTTCATTTTGAGGACCGCATGTTCTGGTAGGTCTTTCCCCTCTACTTCTGCTTTCTTCTGTGTTCTTTGCTTATAGTCTTCATCTTTTGGGCAAACTACAACAGCTTTTCGCTGGAAGCCTGCAAACAGGCACATTTTTCTCCTCTGGGCAGCAGCAGACACATTTGTCTTTAAAAAAAGAAATTTATGTTTACAACCCTAAACATTAATTCTACACCAATCTATCTAAATTATCAGTTAATATTTTTCAATTTCAAAGCTACAGCGTACCTGATCCAGAATAAAATTTCGCTTCTTTCGGGCAGCAATCTCAATAAATTTCCCAAGACACTGGGGGGCTCTCTGCAACAGTGTGTTCAGTTTTCCAGTATCTGCCATTTGCTTCTTAAAACCTGCCACCTATATTCAAAAGTTAAAATTTCCCCTTGAACTTGTGAATTTTAATAAGTTATGCTTTTTAAAATTCAACTCATATCTATATGTAAAGCAGGCAACATTTTATAATTTAAATATTACCTTTGTCCATTATTGCTACAAAAACAGGGTCACTTAAACTATGTAACAAGACCTTACACTTACTCAATTCTTTTTAGCTGCTAGATGTTAAGAGCTCAAAAACACTACGGAAAAAAACAGAAGCCTAGCCAGTGGAAGGCAGTTTACCCTCAGAGTTGAAAGAACCAACTTAATCTTGCCTTTCCTCCCATCTCTTTAAGATACTAACAAAATGGATAGAGACAAAGACAAAAAGTTTACCTAGAATACCTCCCGGTCTATAATTTTTCTTTTCTTTTTTTTTTTTTTCTGAGACGGAGTGTTGCTCTGTCGCCCAGACTGGAGTACAATGGCACGATCTCAACTCACTGCAACCTCTGCCTCCCAGGTTCAAGTAATTGTCCCTGCCTCAACCTCCCGAGCAGCTGGGATTACAGGAACCCACTACCACACCCAGCTAATTTTTAAATTTTTAGTAGGAACGGGGCTTCGCCATGTTGGCCAGGTGGGTCTCAAACTCCTGACCTCAGGTGATCCATCCACCTCAGCCTCTCAAAATGCTGAGATTACAGGCGTGAACCACCATGCCCAGCCTCTCCCAGTCTATTTTAAACACTGAGATCAGGCCCTAAACATTTTACTTACCATCATCTTATCCATAATAGTATTTGTGCCAAGAATGTTATATTTCCCTGGATTTTCTGCTGCATGTTTAGTAACCCAGGTAGTTTTTCCAGCTCCTGGCAAGCCAATCATCATCACAACCTAGTGAAAAGAAAAGAAATGTCATTTCACTGTCAGTAGACACCACCTAATAATTCTTTAAATATTGTTAAGGCCAATTTAAATATCTAAGTTTTCATAGCCCTTACACTAACGGACAAAAATTTGTTTATGGAAAGATTAACAGTCAACATAAGGGGGAAACAATTACTTAAGAGCAATATGCACAGCACAAAGTAAATGAAACAGACTAATCATCTAGTTCTTCTAAATGTCATTTTGTGCCAGGCAAGCAATATTCAAATGCCACAGTTAAAAAAAAAAAAATCCCTTACTTCACAATCTTTCTTCTCTTCAGGCCCCTTTGGTCCTCTAACTCGATCCTCTAAGGGGACGTTCTGGATGAAAGTATACTCTTCAGGTATTGGAAAATATGGCTTTTCCTTCTGACCAAAATTAAATTCAACTGCACAGTTGTGGCAGAGAACATGCGGGAACAGTGGCCGTCCAGCAAGAACTTCCTTACTGATTTTGAAGGCAACGCCAAGATCTTGTCCATTCTTAGCATACGAGAGTTCTACTTCATCACTTTCAAAGTTCTGTTACACAGAAAAAAATTCAACAGTTAAAATCTGCTTCCTTAAACTTTCTAAAAAACTAAGAATTAAAATTAGGAGCAAAGCTTATCCTGTGGAAGCTACAGGTTAAAGAACTATTAGGTGGCCTTTAAGGGCTACACAGTTAAGAAATCTGATGGTTGTAAACCATGAAGCACGTATCTCCAGAACCAGAAACAATACTGACCTAGAAGCTAGACTGAATTTTCTAGGTCAATTTCATGTTCACTGTTTTCAGTCAAAATGAATTAGTGAGTTCCTCAAAAATGTCCTGTGTTTTCCCAATTCAACTGCTGAATGAAGTCTTTACACTAATCCAGGGACTGGTGTATTTTGTTGCTCATATTGAAAACTGACCTCAGTAAAGCTTCTTTAAAGTTCCTAGATATAGCTACTAACTTTGCCATTTATACATAGAAAGTTAGCTTTAACTTACAGCAAAACATGTAATCACATCATTTTCATCAAACTTTTCTCCATAATCTTCAGTCTCACAGTTGCATGTTTTTATTCCTTTTAGAGAATACCCATAAGAAAATTCTTCTTCACCTAAGAAAATAATTAATCTTCATGAAGTAGATGTTTAAAATAGTCCAAAGACTCATCTATTTTACTACTTAAGATGTAGGCTACAAGAGAAATAAGCATATAACCTAATCACCTGTCACTGACACTATTACTTTTCTATCTCTGTACCAGAATTGATGGAAGTTAGGAGGGATATATACGCAGAGACCAAATTAGTTGACGATTTGCATATCACGGGTAAGATTTTATTTCAACCATTGGTCATAAACTTCTAATAAAGGAACAAAAACTAAAATGTAGCCTGTGCCTACTATGTGCTAATATTACCTGTCTGAAGTATTAACAGAATAGATAAAAACAGACAAAAGGCTTAGAATGCCCTCTAGTTAAAAAACACTGAAATCAGACCCTCCTGAACATTCATGAGCCCACATCAGTCAAAAAGAAGCTTTACCAAGTAACATTCCACTTGTAGTTAGTGACCAGCCAATACGAACTTCATGTATGTCAATATCTTTTGTATATAAATGCCTTACTGGGATCTTCTCTGTAACCTGAAAGTCAAATCATTAAATAATTAAAATAATACACCAAGGAGGTAACCCCTTAACTCTCGCATATTTCATTGCGCCACGGGCTAATCTTCCTCTAGCTATAAATACAAAGAAGGCACACTCTAGCCCACCCCCAATATTTGTAAGAACTTTAAACTGATGTGCTTATAACTTGAAATTTAAAGAGTTAAATACTTATTTGACCCATATTTAAAAGAATACTTAATATTTTTAAAGTTCATGTTGTCAGTCTTTAACTTAAAGCCAATTAAAGGATACAATTAATGTTTTTCTCACCAACAAAAGCAGTAATGTAACCAAATTTTATTTTTAACTCTTTGGTGGCCCTTTCAAATGCTTGATAAAAATGAAGTACCCTAAATAAAAAATCGCCTAGCTCTGCATGGCAAGTTCTAACATAACAACCGTGATTAACTGTCACAACAAAATGAAGGTTCCAAGCTCCTCTTTTAATTTACAGGAAGCTTCAAAAATAAGTACCTTTGATAACTTAGCAGTATGAAGCACCTGTAATTCCAGCATTCTGAGAGGCTCAGGCGGGCAGATCACTTGAGCTTAGGAGTTCAAGACCAGCCTGGGCAACATGGTGAGACCTTGTCACTATTTTAAAAAGGAAAAAAAAAGGCTGGGCACAGTGGCTCATGCCTGTAATCCCAGCACTTTGGGACGCCGAGACAGTGGATCACCTGAGGTCAAGAGTTGGCGACCAGCCTGGCCTACGTGGTGAAACCCCATCTCTATTAAAAATACAAAAATTAGCCAGGTGTGGTAGTGTGTGCCTCTAGTCCGAGCTACTTGAGAGACTGAAGCAAGGAGAATCGCTTGAACCCAGGACGCGGAGGTTGCAGTGAGCCTAGGTCGCACCACGGCAATCCAGCCTAGGGAACAGAGTGAGACTGTCTCCACAAACAAACAAACAAATCATAAAATTGCATTTACCTTCATCTCAAAACACACTTTGCCTTTTGACACACCATAGGATGCTCTTCCTCCAGCCCAAAGAAAAGCAAAACTCTCCATTGTAAGGGAAGAAGCACTGAGACGATCTCTTGATATTTTAAAATGTAGATCACAATTATCTGTAATTATATCAAATACTGTGTTACTTTTGACATCCAATGTAAACATATCTGCTATGTAGACAAAACTTGGTTACTTAATTTTTGCATGTACTTCTTAATGCTGCACAACTTTTCTCCACATCATGCTGTTGTTCCAATTTTCAGTTTAAAGCCCCACTCCCACCAAGTCACTCCTGTTAAATTATGTACTGAAAAGTAAACTGCCTGTGAAACTAATACCAAGGTTTAACATGTATATTTTAAGTATTTAAAATAATCAAGACAATGTGACATTAATACATACCTGCTCTGCTCTTTACCTTGATTTAGAGGCAAGCAGTAGAGGATAGCAGGAAATCAAAGTGAAGCATGCCAGAACCAGGTAGATTTACCAGTGCCACATTAAAACTGAAGGGAGGCCACGACCAAATTATTTTAAAATAGGAGTATGAGCTGCTGTTGATCCTGCACCAGGGCTCTAGCTCCTAAATTCTTTTTCTAAAACTTGTGAAGAAGACAGCCTAAAACTATGAAGTACAAACCTGGCCGTCTAATGCTGTTAATAGTGCAGCATTTTAGGTCCTCTTTACCCAGGACTGCCTGTTCAACAATTAGGGATTAATTGCTTCCCGGATTATCCAAATCCAAAGTGTCTTTAACCCAGCTACCTATGGGTCACTGGCTCATTAACATGCACTTCCTCAGACTTCTCACTTGAACAGCTAAAGTCAAGCTGGAACTCATTTTCTTTTTACTGATCAGAGAAAAATAAATCTACAGTTTGGAATTTTTCTTAAATTAGAGTTATTCTAATCAACAGAATTTAATTCAACAGATTGTTTGAATTCAACATTGTACTTATATTGACATATTCCTGATTTGCTAAAAAATCTAACAATTACATTACCTGTGTGAGTCACCACTTCACTACCTTGCCAATTCCTAGCAACTTATTTATACAACCCAGAATTTCACTAAAACTTTCACATCAACTAACTCCTTTTTCACCTGCAGTTTTTTCTTTTAAAAAGGCTCAGATGACTATCTCAACCTTCTGTAAAGGATATTCCAGTAAGAAAGAGTTTTACATTGACACTCTTACAAATCTGAATAAAGCCAATTTGTACAAGAAAACATGAGAAGCTAAGCTCCAATGCCTTCCATCTAACACAGCAGGCTGACACCATAGCTGATACTTTTGAAACAGTTATTTTTATCCTTTGGTCTATTTATCACACCCAGAGTTGTACATTCTCATCACTAAACCAACTACGTTTTTTTGTAACAAAAAAAAAAAAAAAAAAAACAAGTCTGACAGTCAAAGCCCACTTAGAGGTTTGCAATACTTTCTCACTCAATTGCAACCCAACTGGGTAAAGTAGCAGTATTTACAGTGCTGCACTGCCATTGATACCATTCGCTGCTGAAGAAAGCTAGTGGCCCAGTGATAGCCCACTGCTGCTGCCTCAGGTCTTTGGAAGAAATCAACTTATGTTTAAAGCAGCAGCTACTGAACTGGAATTGAGAACAAAAGAGCAGTTATTGAAAAAGTAATATTACAATCTTTTAAAATAGGGAATATACTTGTGTGCTAATGGGAGAAGTCATTAGTAAATATTTAACTAGCCCAAATAGCTCACTTAATATAATTCCACAAAAAAATGAATTACTTTATTGTAGAAGCCTGTAAGGCTAAATTATAGGTAGTGTTACAAGTTTCCGTTAGCTAGTCAAAAACTGGCATTAATTTTACATTTCCTAAGAATGAGAACTTTCAAGTCATAAAAATACGAAACTCCTAGAGCCTGTAAAATAATCCACTTAATACAACTGATGACGTGCTAAATATTAAACTACTAGGTTCTGAATGTAAACCATTATCTTCCTGCTTTTAAAAAAACTAACCCAAGTTTTGCTGCACTTAAGCATTAAGACTTCTAAAAAAAAAAAAAAAAAAACCACCATCACCGCATTTCATAATTGGGGAGAAACAGCTTCACTTACAAGTATCAAGACAAACCACTGTGTCATCGAAGTGTTCATCTTCTTCTTCAACAGGTGGCTGAGGAGATTTGGCTCTGAAAGACAGAATTGTCTCCTGATACAGCTTTCCGATCAACGAACGAATAAGGGATGAGTAAAACTAGGTGAGCATCCTATACCTGCTATACTTGTTCTCTTCAATGTACTCAAAATATCCACGGCCATGATCTTCTCGTGGTCTTTTAACACCCCTCTTTTTATCTCCGCCTTTCTGTTCTGTTTTGCCGTCCCCTAAAACACACACGAGCCCCATAAAGGCCAAGCCTCTAAACAACAAAAAAACGCTTTTCCGTTCCGAGAACCAAAGCAGCTCGACTTTATCCTGCTTTTTAACTGAGGTTTTAACCGAGGACTCAAATGTGAATTCAAAGAACAATCAACTACGAATTCGATTGGCGCTAGTGACGCAGTCTAAAGACATTACTAATTTTGCCAGTCTCCTCGATGATTCGAGAAAGCCAAAGAAAAACTGCGCGGCCCAGGCCCGAAGCCCACGTGTATCCCGAAGAGAGCGCAGAGAGGGGGAGGGGCCGAGCCCGGCGCGGCGGCGCTCCCCTCCCCCGCGGGCCCGCGCTCCCCGCGGCCGCATTGTACTGATCTTCCGCCCCCCGCCCCGCCCCGCCCGGCTCCTCCCGCCGGAAGTGACGTCACGCCGAGCCCCTGCGCTCCTTGCACAATACAGCGGCGAGGAGCCGCCAAAGCGCGCCCGCCCCGGGACCTGGGGCCTCTCCCCTCCCCCCGAGACATGTGCCCGCACCGCGCGCACGCAGCGCGACGGCGCCACCGCGGGCCGACCGGGCTCCCTCCCGCCGCCCGCCCGCGGCTCCTCCCCCTACAGCGGCAGCTGCAGCTCCCCCCGGCTCTCGAGCCACATAATGGAGGCGCTGCCACCGCCGACACACACACACACACACACACACACGCGCGCGCGCACACACACGCCCCGAGCCCGAGGCCTCTCGGCTAATCTGGGATTCCCCGCGCCCCCTCCCCCACCCTCACCGCGGCGCCCTCCCGCCCGGGGCTCCCTCCCCCTGCGGGGCTCCGGCAGGCCTGGGGCACGGTCCCCACCCCGCGCGGGCCTCCCGCCGCGCGCAACGTACAACGCAGCACTCACCCGCCGCCGGAGCCCCGGGGCGACCGCCGCCTCCGCCGCCTTCCGCCTTCTTCTTACCTCCCGCCTGCTGCTGGCCCTGCCTCGCCCCGGGCGGCGCCACCGTCACCGCGAACAGCGAGGTGGGGCCGCTGCTCTTCCCCGCGGCCTCCTTGGCGGCCCCGCGCTGCTGTTGGGGCTGTTGCTGCTGCGTCGCCGGCGGTTGAGGCTGCTGCTCCCCGTGCCCGTTCTCGTCGCCCGCGCCTTCCTCTTCGTCCCCGAGCTCATCTTCCCCTTCCTGGAAACCCTGATCGTCGCCGTTCTCGTCTTCCGAGGCGGCCTCCTCCTCCTCCATCGGGCCCGAGTCGGCCGCCCCCGCGGCCCCGTTCTCCTCTCCTAGCTCCATCTGGTCGCCGTCCAGAGCGGAGATTCCTTCCTCCTCCTCTTCCTCTTCCTCCTCCTCTTCATCGCCGCCGGCCGCGGCCTCCTGCTCGAGGCCTGCTCCCGAGCGCCCAGCGGAATCCCCGCCCAGGTCTAGGCTGCCGTTCCCGGGCTCCATGGCGGGGCGGCCCCCGGCCTCCTCGTCGTCCAGCGCAGCCTGGAGTCGCTCCATGAGCTCGGCCTTGAGACCCTTGTCAGAAAGGCGTCGCTTCTTGAGCTCCTCTTTCAGCTCCGACACCTTCAGCTTTTTTACATTAACAGGCGAGGAACTCATGGTGAGGGCCCCGATTCACCGCTAGGCGCTGCCTCAAACTCGGCTCCGCTCACTCGGCCACTGGTGGCGGCTGCTGCGGCTGCTCCTCGGCCCGGGCGGCGGCTGCGGCTGCGGCTGGAGATGGGTTCGTGCTGCAGAGCGGATCCGCCTGGTGTCGAACGGCGCCAATTCCTTTCACCGAGTTCGCGAGGGAGACGCGGAGACTCGCCTGGCGCGAGCGAGCACGCAACGTCCTCTCGCAGGAGCGGCGCCGCGCACGTAATATAGGCGCCCCGCCCCCTGCGCTGACGGGAGCACTGCGCAGGAGGAAAGCCGGAGCGCGCCCGCGCTCGGCCCCGCCCATTACCGTACTTACCTCCCCGCCCCCACGCCGAACCCGGGCCGAGAGCGCGGTGGAGGCCGCGCAGTGCGCTTCCAATTGGGACTGAGCAAATGGAGGAAAAGGAAACCGCCTTTCAGTTCAACCGACTCACTGCATGATATATTGGCCTTTCTGGGTCTTTGGTGGCTATACTCGTTTGGCTTTTCTCCTTCCCAGCTTGGAGGCTGCTTTATCCAAATGCTTTCTTCAGTCCTCAACTTGGCGTTTCAACCCGAATCCGCCTTTTCTTCCATCTTAGATCTGCCTTCTTATGTGTTTCTCCAGCTCTTCGTTTAAAACTCCTTCAAATCGTATTTCAGTTTTGACTGGTATAGCATACATTGGCAACTGTTACACGCAGCGGCTCTTTTCCTCATAATACCGTATTTGGTTTAATTTGTGTAAGTCCTGCCTTGCGAATTGGATTTTAAGTTCGAGAAGGGCAAGGGCAGAACCGTTCTTTTGTCTGTTCCACACCCCGGGTGCGGGGCCTGGGAAGTAGAGGCTTTGCTTACTACTCCATACTGCAAACCTTAGTGTACCTGCCTTTGCAGGGCAGCTATTCTCATGCTCTTAATAACCCTGAATAAACCTCAGAATTGCATTTCCAAGTTTTCTGTAGCTACCACAAAGACGGACCTCCAGTAACACTTGTTCTGTCCACTTTAGGACCTGGTCATCAGCTACGAAGTCCCAGTAGCTAACCGTGAGGGTGAGACCCAACTAGGTCTTTGATTATAGGCCCACTTGATTCTCTTCCTATTCCTGTAGAAATACTCTTGACCAAATTATTCTGAAACTTAAAGTTTACGAAAAATCAAGGGCTGTGATTTTGTAAAAAGAAAAATGGACTATCGCTCTTGAAATCCGTTATTTTATATGTTAGAAGTTTACTTTTTCTCTTTAAAGAAAAGATGTGATGTCTCGAAGTTTTAGATAGGGAAGTCAGAATTTAGATTCGTGATAGAAGTTAACATTTTAAACCCTAGATAATCTGCAGTGTCCAGCCAGTGTTCCATCTGACTAAGGAGATGGTTTATACCCACTGTTTGGTGCTCTAGGTGGCACAATAATATTGCCCCATTATTAATTTGAAATTTGGAAGTAAACACATTGAAATTTCTCCCATAGGCTAATATGATTTAACTAATTGATACATTTTATTTTTGAAGTTTATTTTCGGTAGCTTTTATGAAGCATTCTACCATACCTTGCAGTCATGTATACGTGAAATATTAACACTTGTGAAATGATTTGACTTGAAATTAATGGACTATGTACAGTACTACTGATAATCCCCAGTTCAAGTTAAGTGGTGAGGATAGCCCCCAAAATAGAAACTTCCAAACAGTGCCAGAAACTCATTTTAGCCTTTGGTTATAATTTTGAAGGTTATGAATAAGCCACAAACTGGAATTTGAAATTTTGTCTTCGTTCAGAAATGGGAAGAGAGCTACAGGGGGTTTACATGTTCACAAACTAGATAACTAATCCCTTAATGAATCAGAGTTAAATACAATTATGATGGTTCCTTAAATTTATGTGTCCTAGATATTATTTACACCTTTAAATATTAGTTATATGAAAACAAATTTCATTTACTGGAAAACACTAAACTATGAAAACAAAGATTGTATATCTACATATAGTAGATCTGTAACAGTCACTCTTGGAACATTAAGTCAGTTGCAAAAATAAACATGAAATACAACTTTTGATGCTCACAAGAAAGTTCTATGGCTTTATCTCCAAAAGTTTTGGAGAACTTTAGAGCTGGATGGGGCCTGGAGATCGATCTGCAGTCCTGTTCATTTTACTGCCCAGGAAGCTGGGACCCTCACCCCCCACACCAATGGGCTTTCTATTACATTGTGCTGTCTTAGACAACATTTGAAAGAAAAACAATTTCTGCTCAAAGAACCATCATCATACTATCCTTTTCACAAACAGAGGAAATATGCCATTCCATAGTCTTATGTTACCACTTCAAAGTACAAATGGTGACATCTTATTGATCATTTTTGCTTCTTATATTTTTAATGCTATCATGATAGTCCTGCTCTACAGAGACCTGTTAAAGTGCAGGTCACTTCCTGTAAATCTCTGAAGGACCTCTAAGACAATTTAAATTCCCCCTGTGTCAAATCCTAGAGGCTACCAAGAATACCGCGTGCCGGAGGAGACAAGTTAATTCTCAATAACAAAAAATGATTCAAGAATGACCTATGAATAATTGATCTGTGAGAGGTAACTACAAAGTTTTGGTGCTCTGCATGTCTAGCTTACATTTTTGAGGTTTAAGCAAAGGAAATGCTATACTTTGTCACACAATTTATTCAGCAAATATTTTTTCAATACTTTCTCAAAAACATTTTATAGTCATAACGATGAGGCAGTTCCAGAGATCTACAGTTAACAAAGTATCCTGCACTTAAAAATTTGCTGGCCAGGCCCAGCGGCTCATGTCTGTAATCCCAGCACTTCGAGAGGCCGAGATGGGAAGATGGCTTGAGGCCAGGAGTTCGAAACCAGCCTGAGGAACACAGTGAGACTCCATCTCCACAAAAAATTAAAATTAGGTGGCTGTGGTGGTACGCCTGTAGTCCGAGCTACTCAAGGGGCTGAGGTAGCAGGATCACTTGACCCCCGGCAGTCAAGGCTGCAGTGAGCCGTGATTGTACCACTGCACTCTAACCTGGACCACAGAGGGAGACCCTGTCTCAAAAAAAAAAAAAAAGAAAAAAGAAAGAAAAAGAAAAAAACCCGTTAAGATCTTACGTTAAATATTCTCATTCCCCCCCGCCCCCCAAAAAAAACAAAACAAAACAAAAAACAAGATCGGGAGTGGTGGCTCACACCTGTAATCCCAGCACTTTGGGAGGCTGAGGTGGGCAGATCACCTGAGGTCAGGAGTTCGAGACCAGCCTGGCCAACATGTTGAAACCCCATCTCTACTAAAAACACAAAAAATAGCCAGGCGTGGTGGTGGCCGCCTGTAATCCCAGCTACTCAGGAGCCTGAGGCAGGAGAATCACTTGAACCTGGGAGGCGGAGGTTGCAGTGAGCTGAGACTGAGCCACTGAACTCCAGCCTGGGGGACAAAGCAAAACTTCGTCTCAAAAAAAAAAAAAAAAAAAAAAGGCCGGGCGCGGTGGCTCACGCCTATAATCCCAGCACTGTGGGAGGCCGAGGCGGGCGGATCATGAGGTCAGGAGATCAAGACCATCTTGGTTAACACAGTGAAACCCCATCTCTACTAAAAATACAAAAAATTAGCTGGGCGTGGCAGCGTGCGCCTGTAATACCAGCTACTCGGGAGGCTGAGGCAGGAGAATGGCGTGAACCCTGGAGGCGGAGCTTGCAGTGAGCCGAGATCGCACCACTGCACTCCAGCCCGGGCAACAGAGCGAGACTCCGTCTAAAAAAAAAAAAAAAAAGAAAGAAAGAAAGAAAAAGAAAAAGAGCCGGGAGCAGTGTGGGCTCAAGCCTGTAATCCCAGCACCTTGGGAGGCCAAGGCGGGCGGATCACCTGAGGTCGGGAGTTTGAGACCAGCCTGACCAACATGGTCTCTACTAAAAATACAAGATTAGCCGGGTTCGGTGGCAGGCGCCTGTAATCCCAGCTACTAGAGGGGCTCAGGCAGGAGAATCGCTTGAGCCTTGGAGGCAGAGGTTGCGGTGAGCCGAGATTGCGCCATTGCACTCCAGCCTGGGCAACAAGAGCAAAACTCCACCTCAAAAAAAAAAAAAAAGGGAAAATGAAAAAGAAAAAAAAGGACAAAGGTACACAAGGAAACTGTTGGAGGTAATGGATATGTTCATTTTCCTGAATGTGGTGATGGTAGCATGCGTGTGTATGTCTGTCCAAACTCACCAAATATGTATAGATTTATTAGTTATATGCAGGGTTTTCTTTTTTTTTGAGACAAAGTTTCACTTTGTTGCCCAGGCTGGAGTGCAGTGGAACCGTCTCAGCTCACTACAACCCCCGCCTCCCGGGTTCAAGCAATTCTTGTGCCTCAGCCTCCCTCGTAGCTGGGATCACAGGCGTTCACCACCACCCTCGGCTGATTTTTTTTTTTTTTTTTTTTTTGTATTTTTGTAGAGACAGGGTTTCACCATGTTGCCCAGGCTGGTCGTGAACTACTGAGCTCAGGCAATCCACCCATCTCGGCCTCCCAGAGTGCTAGGATTACAGGCGTGAGCCACCGTGCCCGGCCTATATGCAGTTATCGTATACCAATTATACCTCCATAAAGCTGGGGAGGTTGGGGGAGGAAGACAAAAGAATTCAGGCCTGCGGGGAATGATGGGAGTGGGTAGGAGAGGAGAGAGGGGAGAGAGGAAAACACAGATCACCAGCAGCCTCGTGGGTGGTTTTGTAAAGGACTTTGGCTTTTGCTTTCTGCTATGGACTGAACGTTTGTGTCCCCACAAAAGTCCTGTGTTGAAACCTAATCCCCCATGATATTAGGAGCTGAGGCCTTTGGAGGCAACGAGGTCATGAGCGTGGAGCCCTCATCAATGGGATTAGAAAATTTATACAGAGCTGAAGAGACCAGCGTTCGTGTCTTCTGCCCTGTGAGGACACAGCAAGAAGGTGCCCTGGGTGGGGAGGCGGGCCCTCACCAGTCACTGAGGCGCTGGGCTTCTTAGCTTCCAGAACTGCGACCAATAAGTGTCTGTTGTTTATAAGCTACTCGGCTTATGATGTTTGTTAGAAGAGCCCAAATGGACTAAAACACCTCCAGGAGGAGGGAAGACATAGAACGTTGTTAGCAGAGTGACATGAGGGGACAAGAATGCTAAATTAAAAGGACTCGAGAGGCTGTTCTATTTAACTTGGTTTTTGTTTGTTTGTTTTGATCTGGAGTGCAGTGGCGCAATTTCGGTTCACTGCAACCTCTGCCTTCCGGGTTCAAGCAATTCTCCTGCCTCAGCCTCTCTAGTAGGTGGGGTTACAGGCGTTGGCCACCACGCCCAGCTAATTATTTGTATTTTTAGTGGAGACGGGGTTTCACCATGTTGGTCAGACTGGTATTGAACTCCCGACCTCAAGGGATCCACCCGCCTTGGCCTCTCAAAGTGCTGGGATTACAGGTGTGCGCCACCTCCAGCTAATTTTTGCATTTTTAGTAGAGACAGGGGTTTGCCATGTTGGCCAGGCTAGTCTTGAACTCCTGACCTCAACTGATCCACCCACCTTGGCCTCCCAAAGTGCTGAGATTATAAGCATGAGCCACCATGCCCGGCCTTAACCCCTTTTTTTGTTTTTGTGTTTTTTGTATAGCACGATCAAGCCCAATTTAAATTAATCAAAGATGCATAAAATATACTGAGATACATTTTCCAATGTATTTTACAAAAGATGTAAGAGTCAGAAACACCTCCAAAGTATTCTGTACTAAAAGTAGACATTTTCACATAGACAAACAGGAAAGCCCAGCTGCAAGGGAGGAGGTACCAAGTTCTGGTTAGAAGTGCAAACTTTCAACTCAGAAAGTCGAAGCTGTACCACATAGTCGCTGCGTGATTTTGCACAAGCTATTTTTCTCTCCATGCCTGAGTTTACTCATGTATAAAAATAATACTTGCCACCTGAAGTTGTTGGGGAAATTCAACAAATAACTGAATACAGTGCTTGGCACACAGTAAAAGCTCAAAAAATAGTAGTCTTCATCAGACACACTGAACAATTTTAGGCAGTTAAAAATCTATGATTGGCTGGGCGCGGTGACTCACACCTGTAATCCCAGCACTTGGGGAGGCCAAGGTGAGTGGATCACCTGAGGTCAGGAGATCTAGAACAGCCTAGCAACATGGTGAAACCCCGCCTCTACTAAAGATACAAAAATTAGCCAGCGCCTTAGTCCCAGCTACTCAGGAAGCTGAGACAGGGGAATTGCTTGAACCCGAGAGGTGGAGGTTGCAGTGAGTCGAGATTGCACGACTGCACTCCAGCCTGGGCAGCAGAGCGAGACTCCATCTAAATAAATTAATTAGTTAAAAAAAAACCTACGATTGAGTGATTAATACTAAATCTTATCAAGGAAATTATAACTACATGTATTTTGTAAGTTATCAATGAATTGTTTGTGGTAAGATGTCAATCTGGGAATAAGTGAAGCAAAGTCTAAACATAAGTATGTAGGTTGGGTACAGTGACCCACACCTGTGATCTCACTATTCTGAGAGGCTAGAGGTGGGAGGATCTCTTGGGTCCAGGAGGTCAAGACCGGCCTGGGCAACATAGCAAGACCCTGTCTCTAAAAATAAATAAATAAATAAATAAAAATAAAAAGTATTTTTTAATTAGCCAGGCATTATGGTGAGTGCCTGTAGTCCTAGCTACTGGGGAGGCCAAGGTGGGAGGATGACTTGAGCCTAGGAGTCGAAGGTTACAGTGAGCAGGCTGGGTGTGGTGGCTCACGCCTGTAATCCCAGCACTTTGGGAGATCAAGGTGGGTGGATCACCTGAGGTCAGGAGTTTGAGACCAGCCTGGCCAACATGGTGAAACCCCCTGTCTACTAAAAATACAAAATAATTAGCTGGGTTCGGTAGCAGGCACCTGTAATTCCAGCTACTAGGGGGACTCAGGCAGGAGAATCGCTTGAACCCTGGAGGCAGAGGTTGCATTGAGCCAAGATCTCGCCACCGTACTCCAGCCTGGGCCACAGAGTGACACTCTGTCTTAAAAAAAAAAGGTTACAGTGAGCAATGATCATGCCACTGCACTCCGGCCTGGGCAGCAGAGCAAGAGCCTGTCTTCAAAAATACATTTAAAAAATAAAACACAAGTACCAGACTTGACTTCGAGGCCCAGCGCTGTTATGATAACCAACTGTGTGACCTTGAGCGAATTGCATGACTTCTCTGGATATTAGTTTTCTTGTCTATAAATGAAGCAGATCAAGCCAGGCATGGTGGCTCATACCTGTAATCCCAGCACTTCGGGAGGCTTAGGTGGGAGAATGGCTTGAGCTCAGGAGTTCGAGGTCAGCTTGGGCAATATAGCAAGACCTTGCCTCTACTGAAAAAAAAAAAATTAGCCAGGTGTGGTGGCACATGCCTGTAGTCTTAGCTACCTGGGAGCAGGGAGGTGGGAAGATCGCTTGAGCCCAGGAGATTGAGGCTGCAGTGAGCTGTTATTACACCAGCACTCCAGCCCTGGCAACAGAGCAAGACCCTGTATCAGGAAAAAAAAAAAAAAAAAAAAGCGGAGTAAACTAGATTTGTAGAGGCCCCCTCAAGGGGAACCTTCCATGAGTTTCGTTTTTGCTGACCTGAAGAAAACTATAAATGGGCAAGCTTCGTTAAACTTTGAAATAATAGTTTATTCATATTTAGCTTTTACTTGTTAAAACTTTGCTCTAGAGTCTCACAGTATTTTATAATTAATTAGCAGACATGAAATTTTTTTTTTTTTTTTGAGACGGAGTCTTGCTCTGTCGCCCAGGCTGGAGTGCAGTGGCACAGTCTCAGCTCACTAGAAGCTCCGCCTCCTGGGTTCACGCCATTCTCCTGCCTCAGCCTCCCGAGTAGCTGGGACTACAGGCGCCTGCTACCACGCCTGGTTAACTTTTTGTGTTTTTTTTTAGTAGAGACAGGGTTCCACCATGTTAGCCAGGATGGTCTCGAGCTCCTGACCTCATGATCCGCCCGCCTCGGCCTCCCAAAGTGCTGGGATTACAAGCGTGAGCCACCGCGCCCGGCCAGCAGACATGAAATTTGAACTACTGTGCCATAGTTCAGTACTATAGGCTTTGAATTTTAAATGGTACAAAATATTCCTATTTACATGAGATTTGTGTACCACAATAGGCTAAAAGTTTTAGGTTTTTTTAGAGACAGTGTCTTGCAATTTTGTCCAGGCTGGACTTGAATTCCTGGGCTCAAGTGATCCTCCCACTTGAGCCTCCCAAGTAGCTGAGACTTACAGGCGCACACTGCACCCGGCTTAATAGGTTAAAAGTTTTAAAGTAAATGGCATTTATTTGAGTCATCTTATCTTTGATGTTATGGATCTCTGTCTTCGTGTAAATTATGTAACTTCTATAAAATAAGATGTGCCAATTAGAAAAGAAAGTGGTAGGAAAACTGGAATCATGTGGTTGATAGTAAGATGTCAGGGCTTTCCTGATAATTAAAATATTTACCAGGTGAAGACTGCTAACGCTCACCAAAACTCAACTTCCACAAAGGAAATAACCATTCTATCTTCGGATTATCAAATTCACAGGCGTCCAGTACATTGACCATTATACATTCATACATGACAAACTGTTGACCTTCTTGTGACAGATGCTTCCGTGGAAAAACTAAACACTGTGACACTGCTCCCTTTGCACCTACTGTACCGTTTTCAAACTGTTGATGTTACTATCTCCCCCATTAGGTGATAAACTCCTGGCTCCCAGCACCGACTCACAACTACTCAGTTTATTTATTTATTTTATTTTATTTTTATTTTATTTTATTTTATTTTATTTTATTTTGAGACGGAGTTTCACTCTGTCACCCAGGCTGGAGTACAGTGGCGCCATCTCGGCCCACTGCAACTTCCGCCTCCTGGGTTCAAGTGATTCTCCTGCCTCAGCCTCTGAAGTAGCTGGGATTACAGATGCACGCCACCATACCCGGCTAATTTTTGTATTTTTAGTAGAGATGGGGTTTCACCATGGTGGCCAGGCTGGTCTTGATCTCCTGACCTCAGGTGATCCGCCTGCATTGGCCTCTCAAAGTGCTGGGATTACAGGCATGAGCCACTGCGCCCAGCCACTACTCAGTTTATATTTCTTTCTTTTTCTTTTTCTTTTTTTTTTTTGAGACAGGGTCTTGCTCTTGCTCTGTCATCCAGACTGGAGTGCAATGGTGTGATCAGGGCTCACTGCAGCCTCAACCTCCCAGGCTCGGGTGATCCTCCCACCTCAGCCTCCCAAGTAGCTGGGTCCATAGGCATGCACGCCACCACACCCTGATAATATTTTTTATTACTTTTGTAGATATGGGTTTTTGCCATGTTGCTCAGGCTGATCTCGAACTCCTGGGCTGAAGTGATCCTCCCACTTTGGCCTCCCAAAATGTTGGGATCACAGGGATGAGCCACCGCACCCCGCCAATTTATATTTCTTAAGCCCAAATGAACCACTTTTCTTTTTTCTGACTTTGATCCTATCTGACATAATGCTTAGCCCAATGTGAACAAGCAGGAAGTTTCCATAAAGCACCAGTCACTGAGGAAAAAGTGCTACCTATTCATAAGAAACTTCGGTTCAGATTACCATGAGGAAGAATTTAAATTCCTGAATGAACCAGCACCTTCGCAACTTGATAAACTGGGCTTTGCTGAACTAAAAAGCTTTGCAAGCACATAAAGGATTTTTTCCTCAAAACAATTTTATTGTGTTAAGAATAGTGCATGTAGGCTGGGTGCAGTGGCTCACGCGTGTAATCCCAACACTTTTGAGAGGCCGAGGTGGGCGGATCACTTGAGGTCAGGAGTTCGACGCCAGCCTGGCCAACATGGCAAAACCACATCTCTACTAAAAATACAAAAATTAGCAGGGGGTAGTGGCGGGTGCCTGTAATCCCAGCTACTTGGGAGGCTGAGGCAGGAGAATCGCCTGAACCCAGGAGGTGGAGGTTGCAGTGAGCCAGGATTGTACCACTACACTCCAGCCTGGGCGACAGAGCAAGATTCCATCTCAAAAAAAAAAAAAGTCTTCCAACTCCAGATACAAGCGCCATCAAAAAGTGTTATCTGTGATCTAGCAGATGACTGTTATCTGGACAAGCACATAGAAATGTCAGAGATTCTAGACTGGCACTGACCAATACAGTAGTCACATGTAGCTATTTGAATTTAAATTAATTAAAATGAAATAAAATCCAAAATTCAATTCCTCATTTAGACTAGCAACATTTCAAGGGCCTCCATGGCCATTGGTCTCATACTGGATAATGAATATTTTCATCATCACAGAAAGTTCTTTGGGATAGCACTGTTATAGACTGTTTCAAAGGTCTAATTTACACCAAGGATGGAACTATATAGTCTATATGTGACTCAGTAGCCAGACTAAATGGAAAGTTGGCCCCAGGAATGAGAGAATGGGAGTAAAAGTGTGTGAGATTGTATGTGCGTGTGTATATACATATATATAAAACACAACATAAATATATAATATATATGGAACTTATATATATGGAACAACATAAATGTCTATAAATATCATATATTCATAGATACGTACATAGTCAACTCCCAATTCATCCATTTATCTATATAAAAAATATTTATTGAACATCTGCTATGTACCAAGTATTATACTACGTGCAAGGAAAGCAGATGTGAATGACCAGTCCCGGGCCTCCAGGAGTTTGCAGTTTGCAGAGAAGGACAAGCCTTAGCTAGATGCTGTGGAACACTAGCATGGCTGCAAGGGGAGCTAGCCGTCCTGACCACCTGCTGAGCTATTGTCTGCAGGACTCCCATGGTGTAGGTTTGTAGGCACGCCTCCCCCCACACAAACATTCACATGTGCAAAAACAAAACAAGACAAAACTTCACACACACACTCAAGAAGCCAGTTGTACGACATTTGCAAGTAAACAGTAATTAGCTAAGATTATCTTATATCATATTCATTATTCTATACACAGAGCTGCCTATCATTTGCAGACTTCTGCCAGCTGATAATTAAGCAAGTCTTCCATCAAAAGCTGTCAGGTTAAGGGGAAAAAAATCAAACTAAAAGTGTCTCCTGCATCGTCCTAATTGCCAAGACACTGTGCATACTCATAACTTTTCCGCCTTTTTCCTGCTTTCACTTTGCTTCATCTAAGCCCACATTAAATAGGCTATTTTTTAAGTCTGGTGTGTTTTTTCCTGATCTGTTTATTTGTGCTATTAACTGCCAGTTATTAAGTGCCTGTGCCACTGTACCAGGCATTTATACAAAATACCTCTAATCCTCATAGCAATTATGTGAGGTAGGAATTATTATTCTCAATTTATAGATATGGAAACGGAATCAGAGGGGTTAAGGAACTTGGTCAAGATAGATAAATGGTAAACTGAGATATCAAATCAGGGCTGCCTGACTTTCGTGCCCGAGCTCTTTCTCCTGCACCAAAAAGTTGGAATCATTAGAATTTCCCGGCCGGGCAGGGTGGCTCACACCTGTAATCCCAGCACTTTGGAAGGCCAAGGCGGGCGGATCACGAGGTCAGGAGATCGAGACCATCCTGGCTAACACAGTGAAACCCCATCTCTACTAAAAATACAAAAAATTAGCTGGGCGTGGTGGTGGGTACCTGTAGTCCCAGCTACTTGGGAGGCTGAGGCAGGAGAATGGCATGAACCCGGGAGGCAGAGCTTGCAGTGAACCAAGATCACACCACTGCACTCCAGCCTGGGCGACAAAGTGAGACTCGATCTCAAAAAAAAAAAAAAAAAAAAAAAGAGAAAGAAAGAAATCATTAGAATTTAGAATTTCAGAGTTATAAATGGCATACTCTGTTCCAGCCAAATTTTATGCTATAGAGTCCTGAAGAAAGAGACAGGCAAATCAATGATTAAATTACAAGAGTCATACGTGATAGAGGTACATATTCAGTACAGGAGATGGAGCAAGGGGCTTATTGGGGGCAAAGGGACTTAAGTTGAGTCTTCAAAGAGTGAGCAGGGCTGAGAGAGAGGGAAGGGCATTCCAGGTAGGAGGAACCACCTTTACAAATGCATAGAGGCGAGGCGCATTCCTGTGGCTATAATTCAGTATGAATGGACATGCTTGCAGGAGCAGGGCTAGGAAATTATTATAGTGGACAAAGAGGTCGATTAAGAAGAACCCAGCCAAGCTAAGAAGTTGGAGCTTCATCCACTAATAAAGAGGTGGGTAGTGAGGGGATTAAAGAATGTTAAGCTGAGAAGTAGCTCGATCAGGTCTGAATTTTAGGAAGATCATGTAGGCATCAGAGTGTTGAAAATGCACATGTTCACATATGTCGTAAGCAGGAAACATAAATAAATAGCAACAGGTGTAATAGCTGCCATCTAATAATACATGACAAGGTCATGCATTGGCTCCAGGTCAGTGGTGCCAGAGGGAGTGATGGAGATTGTGAGCTGGAGTGAGGGCCTCTATGGAAAGGGAGCAGTCGCCTAGGACCATCTGCAAATGGGACCCAGGATTGTCGGTTTTTTGTTTAAGGGAAGTGGGAAAATCTTTATTTTTATATAATAGCTACTGAATTTTAGAGATGACCAAACTTATGTAGGCCAAAAACAAAAAACCACCTTTGGTGATATGTTTGTAAGCCTTGGGTTAAAGAATCTTGAAGGGGGCATGGGCCGGAAGACCAGTTAGGAAGTTATTTAAACAGGTGAGGGCCGGGCATGGTGGCTCATGCCTGTAATCCCAGCATTTTTGGAACGCCAAAGCAGGCGGATCACCTGAGGTCGGGACCTCGAGACCAGCCTGGCCAACATGGTGAAACCCCATCTCTACTAAAAATACAAAAATTAGCCAGGCGTGGTGGCACACACCTGTAATCCCAGCTACTTGGGAGGCTGAGACAGGAGAATCTCTTGAACCCAGGAGGCAGAGGTTGTAGTGAGCTGAGATCACGCCACTGCACTCCAGCCTGGGTGACAGAGTGAGACTGTGTCTCAAAAAAAACAAAAATACAAAACAGGTGAGAAGTACTAAAGGCCACTCTGACTCAGGTCAAATGGATCAATTAATCTTGAGAAGGGTAAAGAGGGCTGTGAAGAAAGATTACTTAAGATTGCTAGGGTTTTCTTAAATTCCAGTGGTGTTTTGGACCCTCACATGACCATCCAATCTTGGCAACTATAACCATTTGGGTTAATTCTCTAAACAGTGCTGCCATTAGAAAGGAAAGGGAGGCCCAGCACGGTGGCTCATGCCTGTAATCCCGGCACTTTGGGAGGCCGAGGCAGGCATATTATCTGAGGTCGGCAGTTCACGACCAGCCTGACCAACATGGAGAAACCCCATCTCTACTAAAAATACAAAATTAGCCAGGTGTGATGGCACATGTCTGTAATCCCAGCTACTCGGGAGGCTGAGGCAGGAGAACTGCTTGAATCCGGGAGGCGGAGGTTCCAGTGAGCCGAGATCACACCATTGCACTCCAGCCTGGGCAACAAGAGCGAATCTCCGTCTCAAAAAAAAAGAAAGGAAAGGGAATGTTTTGTGGTTGTGGGCACCGTGCTTACTAAGAAGAAAAAGGATGTACAATGTGCAGATTTTTCAGCTTTTTGGACAAATGTATATGAAGGTATTGAACCATGAAGCAGTTCCTTTCATCCCCCTCAACCAAAAAGTGGCTGATTCAGATGAAAAGGCACATGAATTAAGTCACAGAACCAAAGCAAACCTTAGCAACACGTGAGGCTTAGGAAATTGTTTCTTCTCCCCTGCATCTTTATACCATTGAAATAAGATTGAACGGAACGCCAAGGAGTGTTCTGAAACAGAGTGTAGTCACAAAGGGAAACGTTAGTCCCAGAGGAGATGATGTGTGGAAGGAAGGCACAGTCTCATTAGGTGGATCTGGAGAGAGAGAAAGAGAATTTTACAACTTTTTTGGTTGTAAGCAAGAAGTAGTGATGCCATATTCTCCACTCACCATCTCCCCGAGTCACTGCCCAGCTGTATCATGTGTTAATTAATTGTCATATGTATAATTTATTATTATTATTATTATTATTATTTTGAGACAGGGTCTTGCTCTGTCACCCAGGCTGGAGTGCAGTGGCACAATCATAGTTCACAGCAGCCTTGAACTCCTAGGCTTAAGCCATCCTTCTGCCTCAGCTTCCCAAGTAGCTGGGATTAGAGGTGTGAGCTACCACACCCAGATAATTAACTTTTTTTTTTTTTTTTTTTGTAGAGACAAGGTCTTGCTACATTGCCCAGACTGGTCTTGAGCTCCTGGCCTCAAGTGATCCTCCCACCTCTGCCTCCCGAAGTGCCAAGGTTACAGGTGTGAGCCACCATGGGCCATTTATCCTTTATTAAACATAGAAATATCTCATTATCTGATCCCACAGTGATTCTGAGATTGTATGAGGATAGGCCTTACTTATTCTATTCTGTTTTAATATTCAGTTTAGCTACTCAGGAGGCTAAAGCGGGAGGATTGCTTGAGCCCAGGAGTTCGAGGCTGCAGTGAGCTCTGATTACATCATTGCTCTCTAGCCTGGGTGACACAGCAAGACCCTGTCTCTAAAAAAACTAAAAAAAAAACTTCTAAAAAAAGATTTTGTTTAGGTGTCACCTCCTCTAGGAAGATTTTCCGAATTACCCCCACGCATCCTCACCGCCCCTGAGTGGATTAGGTGTGCCCTTTCTGAGCTCCTAAAATCTCAGAATTTTTTTTTTTTTAGACAGTTTCACTCTTTTTGCCCAGGCTGGAGTGCAATGACATGGTCTCGGCTCACTACAACCTCCACCTCCTGGGTTCAAGTGATTCTCCTGCCTCAGCCTCCCAAGTAGCTGGGATTACAGGCGTCTGCCACCACACCCAGCTAATTTTGTATTTTTAGTAGAGATGGGGTTTCACCAGTTTAGCCAGGCTGGTCTCGAACTCCTAACCTCAGGTGATCCACCCACCTCGGCCTCCCAAAGTACTGAGATTACAGGCATGAGCCACCATGCCTGGCCAAAATCTCCAAAGTTATTCTTGCCCTGTGGTTTCATTATTTTCTCTCTCTGTTTCTATTTCTCCTACTGATTGACCTTCTAATGGGGGCTCAAGCTAGATGTCTAGTTTGTTTTGTATCCTTATCGTTTCCTGGAGGGTAAGCACTCAGGACATGAAACATATGGAATGAATGAGCCTGTGTAGATCCGACATTGCTTAGTAAATAACTATACCCCTTACCAGCCAGGCAAAGTTGCTCCTTTCTCTCAGTCTCAGTCTTTTAACCTGTAAAATGATAATTACCACTGTCCTGTCTACCCTGGGGGTGTAAGAATCACATATGTAAAAATTCTAACCTGTGAATGCTATGTAATTACTACCTACTTATAAACATATACTTTTGGAGAAAAGGGAGGCAGAAGATTTTTTTGGTTTTTGTTTGTTTGTTTGTTTGTTTGTTTGTGTCAGGGTCTCACCCCCATCGCCCAGGCCGGAATGCAGTGGCACAATCTTGGCTCACTGCAGCCTTGGCTTCCTGGGCTCGGGTGATTCTCCCACCTTGGCTTCCTAAGTAGCTGAGACTACAGGCACGCACTACCATGTCTGTCTGATTTTTTGTATTTTTTAAGTAGAGATGGGGTTTTGCCTTGCTGCTGGTCTCAAACTCCTGGGTTCATGAGATCCACCTGCTTTGGCCTCCCAAAGTGCTGGGATTACAGGTGTGAACCACCATGTCTGGTTTAGGAAGTTTTTTTGTTTTTTGTTTTTGAGACAGAGTTTCGCTCTTGTTGCCCAGGCTGGAATGCAATGGCACGATCTTGGCTCACTGCAACCTCCGCCTCCCAGGTTCAAGCGATTCTCCTGCCTCAGTCTCCCGAGTAGCTGGGATTACAGGTGCCCGCCACCACACCCGGCTAATTTTGTATTTTTAGTAGAGACGGGGTTTCTCCAAGTTGGTCAGGCTGGTCTCGAACTCCCGACCTCAGGTGATCCGCCTGCCTCAGCCTCCCAAAGCGCTGGGATTACAGCCACAAGCCACTGTGCCCGGCCTAGAAAGTTCTTTTATTGCCAAGCGTGGTGGCTCACGCCTGTAATCCCAGCACTTTGGGAGGCCGAGGCAGGCGGATCACTGAGGTCAGGAGTTCGAGACCAGCCTGGCCAATTTGGAGAAACCCCTGTCTCTACTAAAAATACAAAAATTAGCCGGACGTGATGGTGCGCACCTATAATCCCAGCTACTTCAGAGGCTGATGCAGGAGAATTGCTTGAATCTGGGAGGCAGAGGTTGCAGTGAGCCGAGATGGTGCCACTGCACTCCAGCCTGGGTGACAGAGCGAGGATCCATCTCAAAAAAAAAAAAAAAGAAGAAGAAGAGTGTAGTGCTTTAAAATATGAAGATAAAGTCACTGACTGCCCATCAAGTGGGACAGCTTTTCTTCTGGTAATGGGGATACACCTGTGCATCCCACTGTCACCTGGGACTCCTCAGTGATCCATGATTTGACATGAAGACACTATCAGCTAAAAAGCAGGGCAGTCTCAGGGTGCACTTTGGAAGTGCTTAAGGGATCTATATTTTGAACTCCAGAAACGGAACTTCCAAACTTGGACTTTATCACACCTCCTCAGGCAGCCCCACACTTCTATAACAAACGAGCTTGAAGCACACTCTCTCTCAAGTTATGATGGATAATATTGCCTAGGCAATCTAATTAAGCGCTTGGTAAACAGAATCTTAATTTACACTTAGTCCAGAAGGAACGGCAGGAATTTATCTCCCTTCCCCCAGGGAAGACTTGAATTGACAAGTTGAGGGAGGAAGGCCAGTTATATTTTAGGCTTATACATTGTATCTATCAGAGAAGTGCTATGATTTCTTCCCAACACAGGGGAGGTTTGGTGGGCTGCAAAATGGGACTAATTTCCAATTTTTTCCATTTGTCAGATCTTCAGAATCTGGTTATACTGTTGTGGTGGTCGTGGTCTCAAACTCCTGGGCTCAAGCGATCCTCCCGCCTCTACCTCCCAAAGTGCTAGGATTACAGCTGTAGCTGTGAGCCACTGCGCCCAGCCTGGTTATATCATTTACTTAAGAGAAATGTGAATTCCCAGAACAGGAACTTCAGACATAAAACCAAAGATTTTACAATGTAACTACTAGTGATTTTTCTATCACAGGTGGTTCAAAGTTAGTGTACATGCCATCAACATGATAATAAAGAATGGCAGAGAAATGAATCATTTGTTAACTAGGGGCAGAGTGATTGATCTTTTAAAGGCTCTGCTTCACGCTCTGCAGCGGCTTCCCACGGCCCTGGAGGTAGAGCAGGAACCCTCCCCTGGGCCCTCCTGGAGGGAGGTGTCTCCTGCTACCTCTCCAGCCTTATCCCAGGCTTCTCTGAGCTTCATCAGGGAAGGGATGAAGGGACCCACTTGTTCCCAGAGCCTGCGTTGGTGTCCTGCCTGCCATGGAAATACTCTTGGCCTCCTAACCCTGACTCAGCCTTTAGCTCTCAGCATAACCCTGACGGCCCAGACCAACTAATGTCCTCCAGACTGAGCTTTCCTCCCCAGTCACAGCCCACAGCTCCCTTTCCGTCGTGCTTGTTATACTGGGAACTGTTGGGAACGTACACCTACCTCAAAGGAGTGCATCAGTGCAAAGGGCCTGCTCATGGGAGCATTCTGCAAACATTAGCTCTTCACCATTTGTTTGTTTGTTTGTTTGTTTGAGACAGGATCTCACTCTGCTGGAGTGCAGTTGATTGCATGGCGCAATCACAGCTCACAGCCTCAACCTCGCAGACTCAGGTGATCCTCCCACATCAGCCTTCCAAGTAGCTAGGACTACAGGCATTCCCCAGCCCGCTAATATTTGTTATTGTTTTTGTAGAGCAGGGGTCTCACTATGTTTCCAAGGCTGGTTTTGAACTCCTGGGCTCAAGCGATCCATCCGCCTTGGCCTCTCAAAGTGCCGGGATTACAGGCATGAGCCACCGCACCCATTGGTTATGTTTGTCTTTCTCCCTAGATTGTACCCTCTCATTTATTCTATAACCCAGACCTCCCACAGTGAGGACTGTGCTGAATCGCAGGTGCTCAATAAGTACTTGTTGAATGAAGGACTATATAAAAATTGGTTGGCCGGGCACAGTGGCTCATGCCTGTAATCCCAGCACCTTGGAAGGCCAAGGCAGGCAGATCACCTGAGGTCAGGAGTTCGAGACCAACCTGGCCAACTTGGTGAAACCCCCCCCCCATTTCTACTAAAAATACAAAAATTAGCCAGGCATGGTGGTGCACACCTGTAGCTACTTGGGAGGTTGAGGCAGGAGAATCGCTTGAACCCGGGAGGCGGAGGTTGCAGTGAGCCAAGATCATGCGATTGTACTCCAGCCTGGGCTTCAAGAGTGAAACTCTGTCTCAAAAAAAAAAAAAAAAAAATTGGTTGAATGGGGAGTGGGGAGTTATTATGCAATGGTACAGAGTTTCCATCTGGGAAGATAAAAAAAGTTTTGGAGATGGAAGGTGGTGATAGTTGCAGAAGAGTGTGAATGTCTTTAATGCCATGGAACTGTACACCTAAAACGGGTTAAAATATCTATTGGACAAGAGATTGGTGTAAAAAAAAAAAGAATTAAAAAAATTTTTAAATGGTTCAAATGGCAAATTTCATATTATGTGTATTTCACCATAATAAAAAAGTGGCTCATGCCTGTAATCCCAACACTTTGGGAGGCCGAGGTGGGCAGATCACGAGGTCAGGAGATTGAGACCATCCTGGCTAACACGGTGAAACCCCGTCTCTACTAAAAATACAAAGCTTAGCTGGGTGTGGTGGTGTGTGCCTGTAGTCCCAGCTACTCAGGAGGCTGAGGCAGGAGAATCGCTTGAACCCGGGAGGCGGAGGTTGCAGTGAGCTGAGATAGCACCATTGCACTCCAAAAAAAAAAAGTGCTAAATAAATGTATAAATAAATTTGAACCAGCTCCTATCCGACTCTAATATTTCAATTCAATAAACATTCATAGGGTGCCTGCTCTTGGTAAGACATAAAGTCCACTCTTGGACTTATTTAATAGTATATAAAATAGACTAAAAATTGAAATCCGATTGCCCTTCGTGTGTAAAACATGTTTTAACTAGATAGCCAGGTCTTATTTATCTTTATACCCCGAGCAGCCAGCACTTAATATGTGCTTAATATTTGCTAAATCGAAAATAGTGCACAGACAAAAATTCAGTATTTGTTCAGGCCTTTCCCCATTACAAAATGCTCCCACAAACAATACAACATTTCCTGTTACCATTAAGATTCTTTGACTTTCACCCTTTCTTCTCTTTCCCCTTACTTTTGTGTTTTTTTTAATTTGTTTTTTTTTTTTGTTTTTTTTTTTTTTGAGATGGAGTCTCGCTCTGTCACCCATGCTGGAGTGCAGTGGTGCAATCTTGGCTCACTGCAACCACCACCTCCCGAGTTCAAGCGATTCTCGTGCCTCAGGCTCCTGAGTAGCTGGGATTACAGGCATGTGCCACCACGCCTGGCTAATTTTTGTAGTTTTTTAAGTGGAGACAGGGTTTCACCACGTTGGCCAGGCTAGTCTCAAACTCCCGACCTCAGGTGATCCACCCGCCTTGGCCTCCCAAAGTGCTGGTATTACAGGTGTGAGCCACCGCGCCCGGCCTTCATGTTATCAGCCACGTCTTCCTGACTTTCTGTTGCCTGAATCAACACATCTTCTTCAATTTCTTTATCCCTTGTGTTACTATTTTCAACTGCCCATTTCTGGCTCTCATTCCCTGACATCTCAGCAAATGTTTCTATTTTATACCTAAACAGTTACATTTGACTCGGAGGTGGAAGGCACATTACTAGCGTAAAGGTCAGTTTGGCAGAAGCCAATTAGGTCACATGCCTGAGAATCCTGAGAGCCATCGCCCACCTGTCGCAAAACCTTCTGGGCATCCTTGACAGCAAGTATCACTCATCCAGTTTCAAAAAGGAATTGCACACTGCTTGTCTACTATCTGTAGTTTAAATGGTGATCATGTTTCTTCCCTTATAATCAACTTCAGGCTTTTTATAAAGAAAGGAAGTATAGTTTAGATAAGCAACATACTGTATAATAAAAAATTAGGAGGCATTATAAAAAGAAGGGAACACCAAAAGTATGAGGTTAATCAGAGTGATAAATAATATTTCTGGGCAGGTGTGGTGGCTCACGCTTGTAATCCCAGCACTTTGGGAGGCTGAGGCGGGTGGATCACTTGAGGTCAGGAGTTCGAGACCTGCCTGGCCAACATAGTGAAACCTCATCTCTATTAAAAATACAAAAATTATCTGGGCATGGTGGCACAGGCCTGTAGTTCCAGCTACTGGGGAGGCTGAGGCAGGAGAATCGCTTGAACCTGGGAGGTGGAGGTCACAATGAGCTGAGATGGTACCGCTGCACTCCAGCCTGGGCGATAGAGCAAGATTGTCAAAAAAAAAAAAAAAAAAAAAAAGAGAGAGAGAGAAAAAGAAAGAAAGAAAAAAAGGAAATAATGTTCCTTATTTTCAAGGTCTGATGTCATATGGTAGCTACTATCAGGAGGAAGGACCCCTTTAAACCCAGATTTTCAATGATAGACAAGGCTATAGTTTGAATATGACCCCCAAAGTTCATGTGTTGCAAGCAGAATCCCCAAAGCAACAGTGCTGAGTGGTGGGAACTTTAAAAGGTGATTAGGTCATCTGCGTTCATGAATGGATTAATGCTATGATCTCAGGACTGGGTTCCGTTAAAAGGATGAGTTCAGCCTCTGTCTTCTCTCTCTCTCACACACACACTCACTCTCTGCCCCCTCTCTTCTCTCTTCTCTTTCTCTCATTCTCTCTTGCCCTTCTGTGATAATGTGGCAAGAAGTACCTCACCAGATGCAGACCTCACCAGATGCCCTTCAACGTTGGACTTCCCAGCCTCCAGAAACTATACCCAGTCTCGATATCTGTTACAGGACACAAAATGGACGTAGACAAAATAGAAACAAGTAGAGAGGAGACAATAGTTTCATAAGAAGCTGGGAGTCTCATTTGGCTTCCATATGCCTGATGCCTTTGACATCTAGGCAAAGGTCTCATTCTAATATCCCTAGTAGATTTGACACAGCACAGCAGTTAAGAGCACAGACTTGGCCGGGCGGGGTGGCTCACACTTATAATCCCAGCACTTTTCGAGGCCGAAGGTGGGCAGATCACCTGAGGTCAGGAGTTCAAGATCAGCCTGGCCAACATGGTGAAACCCAGTTTCTACTAAAAATACCAAAAATAATAATAATAATAACTGGGTATGGTGGCAGATGCCTGTAATCCCAGTTAGTACCAGACTCTGGCGCTGGGCTGCCAGAGGAAGAAACCTTTTTCTTTTACTTACTAGCTTTGTGAACTCAGGCAAGTTTCCTAGCCTGTCTATGCCTCAGTTTTCTCCTCATTCAAAAAATGAAAACAACAAGATATACCATAGAGTTTTTGTGAGCATTAAATAAATTAATATTCGCAAAGCACTTAAAACGATACCAAGTTCCTGGCATTGTATCAATGTTTGATAAGTAAATTACATTACAAATATAGTTATCTCACATCTTAGCACCCTATAGTTTACAAATTAATTTTGGTATACTAGCCTCATCAAATTCTCACAATTCCGAGGAAGGTATTATTACCTTGATGTGTGGATCAAGAAATAAAGTTTCCTAAGTGTTTTGTGAGGTTAATGATTTGGGACAAAGTTGACCAGAAAGAAAAATAATTTCATCTATTTTATTTCTATGCTTAGTTCAAGGGAAAAGGGTCAGCACCTTTTCTCCCATTTTCATAGCAGAGAGCACGGTGGTTAATCACTTACTTTTTCTTTGGTTACCGATATGGTTTGGCTGTGTCCCCACTCAAATCTCATCTTCAAGTGTAGCGCCCATAATCCCCACGTGTAATGGGAGAGACCTAAAGGGAGGTAATTGACTCATGGGGGCGGGTCTTTCCCGTGCTGTTCTCATGATAGTGAATAAATCTCATGAGATCTGATAGTTTTATAAAGGGTAGTTCCCGGGCAGATGCTCTCTTGCCTGCGCCATGTAAAATGTGACTTTGCTGCTTCTTCGCCCTCCGCCATGATTGGGAAGCCTCCCCAGCCGTGTGGAACTGTGAGTCCATTAAACCTCTTTTTCTTTATAAATGACCCAGTCTCAGGTATTTCTTCATAGCAGTATGAAAATGGATTAATACAGTTACTATGATAATAAGTAGAATACCTTCCATTGAAACATAGTTTGTATATGTGTATCTGTGATATGTGACATATTGCATGTATCTCTTCCAAGAAAGTTTTCCTATTACTAAGTCCTTTATTACTAAGGACCTTTGGGGAACAATAGTAATTTCATACATATTAGTTTTAATGGTGAGTGTTACACTTATGCTCAACTTCTCGGCTGAAGTTCAGTCTTTGCCTGTAGAGGGAAGCTCACTGTAGACTCTGGACTGAGTCTTCCTCTTCTCCAACACACACCAGAGTTATGGAAGAAGTTTGTTTTCTGCTCTGCAGTATTGGTATTTCCTTTTTCCCTTTTTTTCTTTTCTTTTCTTTTTTTTTTATTTTTATCTGGAGACAAAGTCTAACTCTGTCACCTAGGCTGGACTGCAGTGGTGCGATGTCGGCTCACTGCAACCTCCACCTCCCAGGTTCAAGTGATTCTCCTGCCTCACCCTCCTGAGTAGCTGGGACTACAGGCACGCGCCACCATGCCCAGCTAATTTTTGTATTTTTAGTAGAGACAGGGTTTCTCCATGTTGGTTAGGCTCGTCTCGAGCTCCTGACCTCAAGTGATTCACCTGCCCCTGCCCCCAAAGTGCTGGGATTACAGGCGTGAGCCACCACGCCCGGCCTCTTTTCTTTTCTTTTCTTTCTTTTTTTTTGTTTTCAATAGAGACAGAGTCTTGTTATGTTGCCCAGGCTGGTCTCCAACTCCTGGCCTCAAGCAATCCTCTCTCACCTCAGCCTCCCAAAGTGCTGGAATTACAGGCATGAGCCACTGCACCCAGCCAGTATTTCCTATTTTAAACAGGATACTATGCATGGGCAAAGGTTCTCAGGGTAGCTGGACAAACCGGAGAGGCAGGATTGCCTTCCTCCTCAGGTCTTGGGTGCTCCTAGACACAGCAGAGTGGTGTCAAGCACACAGGTTTGGGAATGAGGAGCTGAACTGTCTGGGATTGAATTCCAGCCGTACAATTTTCTAGCTGTGTGACTTTCAGCAAGACAATCATTCTCTCTCCATTTCCTCATTTACGACGTGGAGATATTGACAGTATCTACCTTATTGGATTATTGGGAAGATTACGTGGTTAATGCCAGTGAAGCCCTTAGAACACTAGGCCCAGCTGGCTCATACAAACATTCCGTAAACGTTATCTATTAGTATTATGTCCTATTTTGCTTAACACACTCATCATCCTGTCGTCTAAGTCAATAGCTTTCAAACATTTTTGCCCGTGACTTCCAGTAAGAAATATATTTTGGCCATGCACGGTGGCTCATGCCTGTAATCCCAGCACTTGGGGAGGCTGAGGCCGGCGGATCACAAGATCAAGAGATTGAGACCATCCTGGCCAACATAGTGAAACCCCGTCTCTACTAAAAATACAAAAGTTAGCTGGGCGTGGTGGCATGTGCCTGTAGTCCCAGCTACTTGGGAGGCTGAGGCAGGAGAATCATTTGAACCTGGGAGGCAGAGGTTGCAGTGAGCCGAGATCGTGCCACTGCACTGCAGCCTGGCAATAGAGCAAGACTCTGTCTCAAAAAAAAAAAAAAAAAAAAGAAAGAAATATATTTACATCACAATCGACTACATACACACATAAAAAAACTAGATTGAAGTTTCACAAAACATGAATACTCTTACTAATACATTGTACTGTCTTAATTTCTATTCCCCTTTTAAAAATGGTGGTGCATTATTAAATTGATTTCACGACCCGATAATGGGTCAGTTAGAAAAACTGGGCTCTTTGATAGGCTATTCACTAGGCTGAATAATGACCCCTGAGATGTCCATGTCCTAATTCCTGCAAAAGGGACTTTGCACATGTGATTATGGTTACAAACCTTGAGATGTGGTGATTCTCCTGGATTATCCAGCTGGGCCTAGTCTGTCAACGTGAGTCCTTAAAAGTGGAGAACCTTTTCTGGCTGTGATCAGATAGAGAGGTGACCATGAAAGAAGGGTCAGAGATGCAGAAGGAAAAGGACTCAGTCGGCCATTGCTGGCTTTGAACATGGAGGAAGGGGGCCACAAGCCAAGGAATGTGGATAGCTGCTAGAAAATGGAAAAAGCAGGAAGACAGATTCCTTCTGAGAGCCCCTAGAAAGAAACACAGCCCTGCAACACCTTAATTTTAGCCCAGTGAGACCCCTCTCAGACTTCTGACCACCACAATTGTTAGATAATAAATTTATGTTAAGACACTAGATTTGTGATAATTTGTCCCAGTAGCAATAGAAAACTAATATATTATGTAAGCCAGAAGCCTTGACTTTACTGTTTCCCTAGACTTTTCTTTTTTCTTTTATTTATTTTATTTTATTTTATTTTGAGACAGAATCTTGCTCTGTTGCCCAGTCTGGAGTGCAATGGCACAATCTCAGCTCACTGCAACCTCCACCTCCCAGGTTCAAGCGATTCTCCCACATCAGCCTCCGGTGGAGCTGGGATTATAGGCATGCACCAGCGTGCCCAGCTAATTTTTGTATTTTTAGTAGAGACAGGGTTTCACCTTGTTGGTCAGGCTGGTCTTAAACTTCTGACCTCAGGTGATCCACCTGCCTCAGCCTCCCAAAGTGCTGGGATTAAAGGTATGAGCCACTGCACTGGCCTAGACCTTTAATTTAATGGTCTTTAATGTCATTAAATTTAATGCCACCTAGTCCTCTTGCTTCTATCTTTGAATATCTCTGAAAAAATCCATATGTTTCCCCAATTTTCATGGCTCTTGCCCTCATTCAGTTCCTATTTATCTCTATTTTGAATTATTCCTACTTCTGGGCCCCTATCTGTGCTACATCCTCTTCCTTCTGGCTTTCAGAGTTAAGTTAATAAACTACCAATATGATTACCTCTTGGCACTTTTTTTGGGGGGTTGGGGGAGTTGGAGTCTTGCTCTAGTCGCCCACACTGGAGTACAGTGGCGCGATCTCGGCTCACTGCAACCTCCACCTCCCGGGCTCAAGCGATTCTCTTACCTCAGCCTCCGAAGTAGCTGGGATTACAGGCACACATCACCATGCCCGGCTAATTTTTGTATTTTTAGTAGAGACGGGGTTTCACAATATTGGCCAGGCTGGCCTTGAACTCCTGACCTTGTGATCCACCCGCCTCAGCCTCCCGAAGTGCTGGGATTACAGGCGCGAGCCACCACGCCTGGCCAGGCACTTTGTTTTTTTTAAGAGATTGGGGATGGGGGCACCTTGCTATGTCGCCCAGGCTGATCTTGAACTCTTAACCTCAAACCATTCTCCCAAAGTGCTAGGATTACACGTCTGAGCCTCCACGCCCAGCTCTTGGCACTTCTGATGCCTCAACATGCTTCCAGAATAAAATCTGAAGTCTTCAGAGCAATCGCCAAAGCTTTGCGGATGACCCAGTTCAAATCTATGAGGACACATTTCTCTGCTGCCATTTTCCCCATTCTGGCCTCTTAGAGTATTATATTTATAAAGTTAGTTTTCCATGTCACTTTATTATAGTTGGTTATCTATTTTTTTGGTTTTAAAAAATGTGCTTCCTCAGGGCCAAAGAAGCCACAAAGAATATGCCCTGCCTGCCAGTCAGTCAGCTCCACCTGTGTGCCCGTCTAAGGCCTCATTTATTATGTATATAGAGTATGGCTCTCCAATCACAATGTGCTTTATTTTTTAATTAGGGCTTTAGTGGCCAAGAGAACTCTCTTTTCCATACTTGAGCAAAATAAATAAATCAATCAGGAGTGCATTTTTTATCTGCATCTTTTATTTTAATAAATCTCATCAAAAATTTGTATCAACCTATGCATTTGAACGGTCTTGCTAGACCTAACATCAAAACGTGGATGATAAATGCATGAAGGAGCCGGGCACAGTGGCTCATGCCTGTAATCCCAGCACTTTGGAAGGCCAAGGCAGGCAGATCGCTTCAGGCCAGGAGTTTGACATCAGCCAGGTCAACATGGTGAAACCCCGTCCCTACCAAAAATAAAAAAATTAGCCGGGTGTGGTGGCGCTCACCTGTAATCTCAGCTACTCAGGAGGCTGAGACAGGAGAATCACTTGAACCCAGGAGGCAGAGGTTACAGTGAGCCAAGATCGTGCCACTGCACTCCAGTCTGAGCGACAGAGTGAGACTCCGTCTCAAAAAAAAAAATTACTTCTTTAAAGGCACTATCTCCAAATAGAGTCACATTCTTAGGTTCTTGGTGTTGGGATGTCAATATATGAATTTTGGAGAGACATAATTCAGCCCATAATGAATAGTGAGGATATCACCTCCTAACTCAGCTTTGCGCATACACAGAGTTCTAACAAATCTCTTCTAGGTGCATCTTCAAGCCCCTGTTACGATCCTCCTATTTGGGTACTACATTTCCATTTTCCTATCTCAAGGCTGAGTTCTACCCTGCAGCCCTAATTTGGGCTCAAAAGGAATTCCGTCTTTTCCTATGGTCCCTCACACACCCATCCCTTGTTCTTTGGTTATAACCCCTCCACCTGCCACAGCCTCACCACCAACTCAGCTTGCCCAGCACTGCCAAAAAATTTTTCCCCTTCTTTCTGACGTTTCGGACTTGGATTCTTTTGAAAACTATCCTGAGCCCTTATATTTGCAATGGAATTTTTTTTCTTTTTTTTTTTTTTTTTTTTGAGACAGAATCTTGCTCTGTCGCCGAGGCTGGAGTGCAGTGGCGCGATCTCAGCTCACTGCAACCTCTGTCTCCCAGGTTCAAGTGATTCTCCTGCCTCAGCCTCCTGAGTAGCTGGGATTACAGGCACCTGCCACCACACCCAGCTAATTTTTGTATTTTTAGTAGAGACAAGATTTCGCCCTGTTGCCTAGGCTGGTCTCAAACTCCTGACCTCAAGTGATCCACCTGCCTCAGCCTCTCAAAATGCTGGGATTACAGGTGTGAGCCACCATGCCCGGCCTTGCAATGGAATTTCTGAGAGATCGTGTTCCACTCTTGCTTCCCCTTTCTTCCCTCTATGCCCTGCATTTTTAAATAAGTAACTTTAGGCCGGGCACGGTGGCTCATGCCTGTAATCCCAGCACTTTGGGAGGCCGAGGCGGGCGGATCACGAGGTCTGGAGATCAAGACCATCCTGGCTAACGTGGTGAAACCCCATCTCTACTAAAAAATACAAAAAATTAGCTGGGCAAGGTGGTGGGCGCCTGTAGTCCCAGCTACTCGGGAGGCTGAGGCAGGAGAATGGCGTGAACCTGGGAGGCGGAGTTTGCAGTGAGCTGAGATAGCGCCACTGCCCTCCAGCCTGGGCGACAGAGCGAGACTCTGTCTCAAAAAAAAAAAAAAGTAACTTTAATGTTATTAATATTATTATTTTTTTTGAGATGGTGTCTCACTCTCACCCAGGCTTGAGTGCAGTGGTGTAACCTCAGCTCACTGCAGCCTCTGTCTCCCGGGTTCAAGTGATTCTCCTGCCTCAGCCTCCTCAGTAACTGGGATTACAGGTGTGTACCACCATGCCCAGCTAATTTTTGTATTTTTAGTAGAGATGGGGTTTCGCCATGTTGGCCAGGCTGGCCTTGAACTGCTGACCTCGAACTGCTGATCTCAGGTGATCCGCCCACCTCGGCCTCCCAAAGTGCTGGGATTATAGGTATGAGCCACCGCGCCCGGCCAAAAGTAAGTTTTAGAATTACTCAACTCCTGCTAGGCACAGTTATGTAGATTCCACTAATGGTCACATAACTTGAGTCCAGATTCTCAGGTGCATTATCTGTCCAATTAGAAAGTTGTAAAGATCATTTTCAACGAAGCCAGCAGGAACACCTTTCATTAAACATTTCAAGTATGTAATGTGGGGAGGCTCTTCCTCTTCTTCCTCCTGTTTCTATTTGCAGTTTATGTTTTTTTGCATGAGGCATTCTTGCTTCATGGACCAGGTTCAAACTTGACCAATATACCTGACCACCCAGAATCTGTGTCCTAGTCCTCGGCTGTGGTCTGGGAATAGCGGTAGCTCCTCGGAAGGAGTGAGTCAGTGGCAGAGTGATGCGATGTGCTGGCAATGGGGATGGATTTGAAGACCAGTGGCTCATGCCTTGAGCTATCACAGGCCCAAGTTCAGTGTCCTCTCCTGGGAAACTTGGTGGTTTGTGCCTGTGTATGTTGAGAGTAGGCAAGGGTAGCATTCCTGATCTAGGCAGAGCCTTATTTGAAAGACTTCTGTTTTCATTTTTGTTTTATTTTAGTTTGGAGTGTGTGTGTGTTTGTGTGTGTGTGTGGGTGGGTGTGTATATGTGTGTGTGTGTGTGTGTTTTAAGTGGACATTAAAAATTCCAAGCCTGGCTGGGCCGGGCACGGTGACTCATGCCTGTAATCCCAGCACTTTGGGAGGCCGAGGCGGGCGGATCACGAGGTCAGGAGATCAAGACCATCCTGGCTAACACAGTGAAACCCCGTCTCTACTAAAAATACAAAAAATTAGCCGGGCGTGGTGGCGGGCGCCTGTAGTCCCAGCTACTCGGGAGGCTGAGGGAGGAGAATGGCATGAACCCGGGAGGCGGAGCTTGCAGTGAGCCAGGATCGTGCCACTGCACTCCAGCCTGGGCGACAGAGCAAGACTCCGTCTCAAAAAAAAAAAAAATTCCAAGCCTAAGGCAGAATCACCCTGAAGGATGCTAAGTGCAACTCCAATTCCAGGATCTGCTGTCTAAAAATACAAATTCCATTTTCAGACACACGAAGCATCATATTAGACAGCAACAGTGTCTGCTTTGATCTTGGTTAGTTGAGATTGATCATTTGCATTCAAAGTTCATATTAATATTCAGGCTAACAGGTAAAGCTAGCATGCTGAGGTTGGAGAGCCAGCCCACTTGTTAACTATTATAATTGAGATAGGCTGTGGTCATTAATGTAAATGACAGTGACTCCCCTTGGTCTTCTGGTTAGTAATAAAGAAAAGAGCTCTGAATGAAGATCAATGGATCTGATTCAAATCCCAGCCCTAACTCAAACATTCTCTTAACCTCTCTGACAGCATTCTCCTCTTTTGCCAAAGGATCATAAGAATAGCTTCTATATGCACTAAACTTGTATTTAAGATTTTTTTATCATTTTATAAAAATGATACACATACACTGTTTAAATAGTGAGATAGTACTATAAGGTTTATTACAAAAAACAGCAGTTCCCTGCCTGTGACAGATTGTATTTTCCAAAGATGGCTACAATATCTCCCAGCTCACAATGCTTTTCTTCCAATGAGACCATGACATTTCTCCCACAGAATGGAGTAGGGGGCTCTGTGTTTCCTCCCCTCTAACCTGGGTGGATCTTGGTGACTGCTTTGACCGATAGAGCATGGCGGAAGTGATGCTGTATTCATCAGGGTTCTCCAAAGAAACACAACCAATAGGAGATAGCTACATCTCTCTACGTATTTATTTTGAGACAGTGTCTCACTCTGTCACACAAGCTGGAGCGCAGTGGCACGACCATGCTTCCCTGCAGCCTCAACTTCCCGGGCTCAAGCGATCCTCCCATCTCAGCCTCCTTAGTAGCTGGGACTACAGACACACACCACCATGCCTGGCTATTTTTTTTTCTTTTTTATTTTTTTGCAGACAGGGTTTAGCCCTGTTGCTCAGGCTGATCTCTGAACTCCTGAACCCAAGGAATCCACCTGCCTCAGCCTCTCAAATTGCTGGGATTATAGGCATGAGCCACCACGCCAGCCAGGATGAAGGTATTCTACTCTCTTTCTCTTTCTTTTTTTTTTTTGAGACGCAGTTTCACTCTTGTCGCCCAGGCTGGAGTGCAATGGCACAATCTTGGCTCACTGCAACCTCCGCCTCCCAGGTTCAAGCGATTCTCCTGCTTTAGCCTCCTGAGTAGCTGGGATTACAGGCGCCCGCCACCATGCCCAGCTAATTTTTTATATTTTTAGGAGAGACGAAGTTTCACTATGTTGGCCAGGCTGGTGTCAAACTCCTGACCTCAGGTGATCCACCCGCCTCGGCCTCCCAAAGTGCTGAGATTACAGGTGTGAGCCACCGCGCCCGGCCTCTACTCTCATATTATCCCAGCCTGCCACTTCTACTTCCTCAACCCTGCAAACATAATTATATCAAGATATTGGTTAAGCCAATATTTATTATTGACCCTATTATTTCTATGTGAGTGTTGTTCACTGTTGAGCTAAGTAATGCATTCGCATTACATTCTCTTTCTTATACTATTTAATTTCCCATTTGCTCAATTTCCCATGTCATTATTACTATTTCTTTCCACATTCTCCAACTGAATTGCAAAACCCCCGCATAAGATTTTCTACGTGGTCAAACACACATGAAATAATGTAGCTATCAGTGTCCATTTTCCCCTGGACTTCAGGGCCCCAGTTCCTTTCTGGACTGGCTCTCTCTGGGTGTAGCTGCCGTCTGGAGGCCCCTTTCACCTTTCTCCTGGGTCAGATCCCTTTGTCCTGACTGTGGTCCTACTCTTCAGTGGGTTATCCCCTCATTCTGGTGGAGTGTAGCCTCTGGTGGCTCTGGAAGAAGGTGCCCAGGAAGTGAAAATGTCTTTTTTTTTTTTTTTTGAGATGGGGTCTCCCTCTGTCACCCAGGCTGGAGTGCAGTGGCTCCAACTCTGCTCACTGCAACCTCCACTTCTTGGGTTCAAGCAATTCTCCTGCCTCAGCCTCCTGAGTAGCTGGGATTACAGGTGCGTGCCACCATGCCCGGCTAATGTTTTTTGTTTTTAGTAGAGACGGGGTTTCAGCATGTTGGTCAGGCTCGTCTCGAACTCCTGACCTCGTGATCCGCCCACCTCGGCCTCCCCAAGTGCTGGGATTACAGGCGTGAGCCACCATGCCTGGCCAGGAGGTGAAAATGTCTTTATTTTACTCTCTCATTTGATTAATGGTCTGGTGAGGCAGAGAATTCTAATTCAAAAAATTATTTTTTCCTCAAAATATTGAAAGCATTGTTTTGTTGTCTGCCAGTTTCCAATGCTGTTCTTGAGAGTTCCACTGCCATTCTGATTCCAGAATCTTTATGTGTAATATTTATTTTTTGCCTTCTATGGATTAATGTTTTCTCTTCATCTCCAGTGTTCCGAATTTTTTTTGTTGTTTGTTTTTGAGACAGGGTCTCACTCTGCCACCCAGACTGGAGTGCAGTGGCACGATCATAGCTCACTGGAACCTCCACCTCCCAGGCTCAAGCAATCCTCCGCCTCAGGCTCCTGAGAAGGTGGGACCACTGGCCTGCACCACCACACTGGACTAACTTTTTGATTTTTTGTATAGATGAGGTCTCAACATCTTGCCCAAGCTGCTCTGGAACTCCTGGGCTCAAGTGATCCTCCCACCATAGCCTCCCAAAGTGCTCGGATTACAGGTGTGAACCACCGTGCCCGGCCTCTTCTGAAATATTATGAAGATATGACTTAGTGTAGATCTTTTCATTAATTTTTCTGGATAGGCCCTTTGAATCTAGAGGCCCACTCTCCTGAGTTTTTTTTTCTTTGGTAATTTTCTCTTCTCTATATTCTACTTATTAAATTCCTGGCCGGGTGTGGTGGCTCATGCCTGTAATCCCAGCACTCTGGGAGGCAGAGGAGGGCAGATTACCTGAGGTCAGGAGTTCAAGACCAGCCTGGCCAACATGGTAAAACCCTTTCTCTATTAAAAATACAAAATTAGCCAGGTATGGTGGTGGGTGCCTGTAGTCCCAGCTACTCAGGAGGCTGAGTCAGGAGAATTGCTTGAACCCGGGAGGCAGAGGTTGCAGTGAGCCGAGATCGCGCCATTGCACTCCAGCCTGGGGCAACAAGAGTGAAACTCTATCTCAAAAAATTAATTAATTAATTAATTCCTATTAGTTGGCTATTAGACTATCTGGATAATCCTTTATTTTAAATTATTTTCTTGCTTGTCGTCCATTTATTTCTATATTATGGGAAATTGCCTCATTTCCCATAAAATTTGCTGTCACTTTATCTTATCTCTCTCTCTGAGAACAGCAATTTCATCTATTTCTGGAAGTGTTTGTCCATGTCCTGCATTGCCTTTTTCTTCAAAATTTTCCCCATCATTCGTTTGTTTATTTTAGTCCTTGTCTTTCATACGGGATCATGGAATGCCCAGCAATCCTTGTAGGACCATTCACATTAAACAGTGACTCACTACAAAGCTGAGAGGAAACATGAGCAAGGCTTGGTAATGTTGAACTTCACTCCAGGGTGATAGGGTCATGCCTGTTCAGAGAGTTATTTTCTTTTTCTTTCCTTTCTTTCTTTCTTTCTTTTTTCTTTTTTTTTGACGGAATCTCACTCTGTCACCAGGCTGGAGTGCAATGGTGCGATCTCAGTTCACTGCAACCTCTACTTCCCTGGTTCAAGCAATTCTCCTGCCTCAGCCTCCCGAGTAGCTGGGATTACAGGCGTTGGTCACCACACCCAGCTAATTATTTGTATTTTTAGTAGAGGCGGGGTTTCACCATGTTGGCTAGGCTAGTCTCGAACTCCTGACCTTAAATGATCTTCCCACCTCGGCCTCCCAAAGTGTTGGGATTACAGGCATGAGCCACCGCGCCCGGGTATTTATTTATTTATTTATTTATTTATTTTAGAGACAGTGTCTCACTCTGTCACCTAGGCTCTCACTGCAGCCTCCATCTCTTGGCCTCACTCAATCCTCCCACTTTGGCCTCGCAAAATGCTGGGATTACAGGCGTCAGCCACCACGCGTGGCCCAGCTATTTAATATTTTAACGGAACAGTTTTTCCAAGAAAAACTCATTCTTCTACCTGAGAACAGGGGTGGGGCTACCATACACTCTGAGGACAAGCAGGGATAGGGCCTGGCTGCATTTCATGTAGCCCCTCTTGCTTTCAGCCCAGTGCCTCGTCCCTGCCTTCCAGAATGTCAGCTGTTCCCGAATCTGGACCCCTGCAGTTCCATTTCCCCAAAAATTAGCTTCTGGACTCGTGCCGGCAGGGCGGGGGCAGGGTGGAGGGGAGGAGTGTTCACCTGGCTATGTGGAGAGGTGGAGGGAACATGATGGGAACTCTTCCACAGGTTTGGAACCAGTTTCCCTGTTTCCAGCCCCACTTGGCAGAACCTGTCTCTCGCAGTCCGAGCCTTTAACGGTTTTTTGTGTACATCAGCATCCTCCTCTGATCTGGTGCCGCTTCCCTGCTATGTGAGTTACTCGCTTCTTATGACTTCCGTAGTCTCAAAATATACTGCTGTCATTCACTGTAATATTCTCTTCTGTTCTCTTTGATGCTATGGGTTTAGACTCATTTTATTTCTTTTCTGTCATTTTAGTAGACCCCAGGAAGCCATGGAGACAAACATTGTGTTGACTCTGCTGTGTTTAATCAGCAATCTCCCTACCTACTTGGTAAGATTATCATCAGTATCAACTTGGACAATATATGCAAGTGCTTTGCAAGCTCTAAAATGTCATCCACGTGTGATTTACTATCATTTGATCCCTAAGACACCTCGAGAGATTTTTTTCTGCTGTGACTTTTCTCTTGCTACTTTTGACAAAACGAGCACTTCAGTGCTGGCAGCTGTCCATCTAGCAATAATCTTTAAGGTCCCAAACAAGATGAAAATGACTAAAACGCTCACAATTGTATGTGTTATACAAAAGAAGTTGAAAATGCCATACTGAATGGTAGGCTAAATGAAATGTACTATGCTAGAATTTCCAGCAAAAGTCTCTTAAAAGCTGGGTGCAGTCATGTATTCCTGTAGTCTAAGCTACTTGGGAGATTGAGGTGGGAGGATCATTTAGGGTCCAGGAGTTCAAGACCAGCCTGGGAAACATAGCAAGACCCCATCTCTAAAAAAAAAAAAAAATTCTTTCTGCTCCGCTCACCCACAAAACCCCCAGGTAAGTGCGCTACTTGCCCCTGTGCTCCACAGGCCCTGTGCACAGAACTCTTACACCACTGCCCACTCTGTGGAAATTGTTTATTTCTTGTTGGTTGCACCCTCTGGTTATGGGTTATGTCTTACTCATCTCTTTATCCCCAGCACCTAGTAGAGTGCCTGGAATACAGTAGCTCCTCAATATTTAATGATTCGAAACACTGCAGACAACCGCATTCAAATAGTATCCCGTTTTTTTGGGAAAATGCTTCTAAAGGGGATGACCAGATATTCCACTTGAAATGTTAAGAAAACAAAAATTGGAAATTCTTTCTCCTTTTTTTTTTTGAGACAGAGTTTCCCTCTTGTTGCCCAGGCTGGAGTGCAGTGGTGCGATCTCAGGTCACGGCAACCTCCGCCTCCCGGGTTCAAGCCATTCTCCTGCCTCAGCCTCCAGAGTAGCTGGGATTACAGGCATGCTCCACCATGCCTGGCTAATTTTGTATTTTTAGTAGAGACGGGGTTTCTCTATGTTGGTCAGGCTGGTCTCAAACTCTGCACCTCAGGCAATCCGCCTGCTTCGGCCTCCCAAAGTGCTGGGATGACAGGCGTGAGCCGCCGTGCCCAGCCTTCTTTCTCCCTTATAAAGACAAAGGAGGCTGGGCTTGGTGGCTCACATCTGTCATCCCAACACTTTGGGAGGCCAAGGCAGGTGGATCACCTGAGGTCAGGAGTTTGAGACCAGCCTGACCAATATGGTGAAACTCCATCTCTACTGAAAATACAAAAATCAGCTGGGCGTGGTGGTGGGCACCTGTAATCCCAGCTACTCAGGAGGCTGAGACAGGAGAATTGCTTGAACCCGGGAGGCAGAGGTTGCAGTGAGCTGAGATTGCACCACTGCACTCCAGCCTGGGCAACAGAGCGAGACTCCATCTCAAAAAAAAAAAAAAAAAAAAAAAAAGACAAAGGAGAACATTTTGGATCTGTCTGACAGCTTGCTTCATCTTTTCATGCAATGGGAGAAGAAGGATAGAGAAATAAAACTCCAGTTCTGGCAGCACCAGACAGCCCAGACACAAGTGTTAAGCACAAAAGGAGAGGCAGCATGGATCCTGGCAGCTCTTGTGTTGCATGAAAAACACCTGCTCTGTTGGCAGCCAGGAGAGAAAAACCAGAATAGCACAGGCTCACCCACTCACGAAAACACAGGAACTCCCCTGTATGTAGGCAAGAGGGGCTGGGGAGCATCAGCAGACAGGCCTAGTGAAGCTTACCTGGAAAATGTACCCTATACTCTTTAAAAGGACTTGAATTTCCTTCAGAATGAGAAGAGAATGAAATTCAACACCTTTCTTTCTTAGAGGCAGCTAGGCCTGATCAGAGCCCACAAGGTTGCAAGCTTGCCGGAAGCTTGACTCAGCCAGGACTAGCCACACACGAATGAGGCCTGGGGCCAGAATCGCCCCTGGGGGAGGCTCCCTCGGCCACACTGTGAGGAAATTGCTGAGGAACATGCCATCCACTCTGCTGGGGGTACCCCACAGTGGGCATTGCACTCAGAGTTCTGGGGGAATGGGGCAAGATTTGGAGATAACAGTATTGAGAACACTGAGGGCAGCAACCAAAATAAGCAAGCAAGGAGACCTACAAATCAGGAAACATGGCGACAGGGAAGGCCTGAGCCATGAAGACCACGGTATTAACCCGCGAGGATGACCCTCTTGTATCTTCAACATCATGTGTCCAAAATAGCCCTTTGAGATGTTCCTTAAGAAAAGCGTTCATGGGCCCGGCACAGTGGCTCACACCTGCAAACCCAGCACTTTGGGAGGCTGAGGCAGGAGGATCACTTGACCCCAGGAGTTCGAGACCAGCCCAGGGAAAATAAGGAGTCCCCCATCTCTACCAAAAAAAAAAAAAGACACAGAGAGAAGAGTTCTACCAGAAAATCAATACCACATGTTTTCACTTGTAAGTGGGAGCTAAACACTGGGTCTGTACAGACATAAAGATGGAAACAATGGACACTGGGCACTCCAGAAAGAGGGAGTGGGGAGGCAGACGGGGTTAAAAACCACTTCCTGGGGGCCCTGTGTCCACAGTTTGGGAGACAGGTTCAATAGGAGCCCAAACCTCGGCATTATGAGTATATCCATGTAACAAATCTGGACATATACCCCTTGAATCTACCTTTTTTTTTTTTTTTTTTTGATGGAGTCGCACTCTGTCACCAGGTTGGAGTGCAGTGGCACAATCTCGGCTCACTGCAACCTCTGCCTCCCGGGTTCAAGTGATTCTCCTGCCTCAGTCTCCAGAGTAGCTGGGACTACAGGCGCGTGCCACCACGCCCAGCTAATTTTTTGTATTTTTTTTAGTAGAGACGGGGTTTCACCATGTTGGCCAGGATGGTCTCGATCTCCTGACCTCGTGATCCGTCCGCCTTGGGCTCCCAAAGTGCTGGGATTACAGGCGTGAGCCACTGCACCCAGTCCTAATTTTTTTTTTTTTAATTAAAAAGAAAGGGTTCTATGGTCACAGAAATTTGGGAAATGCTGCCTGCAATAAACCCCCATAGGGATTTACAATGAACAGTAACCTCTGGAAGGCCCTGAGCAGTTCTTCAAGAAAGGAAAAAGACAAAAACAGAAAAAATGACACCTGGATTTCCCACTTTCCTTCAAGCAAGGCCTGTTAACATCCTGCAGAACTAGTGTTCCAGGGACCATAAAATGGTAACTGCTGTTCTACCCAGCCTTGACAGTTGAAGCTCGTCTTTAGCAATGACACAACTTTCAGAATTTTGTAGTGAAAGATACGTTTTGTTATAAACATTAGTTGTGAATTTTTAAATCCTTTTTTCTCAAGTAACATCTCACAGCGGAAAATCCACCATGTTTCTGAAATGTTGTTTTGTTTTTCCAATTAACTTTTTTTTATATAGACTCAATTTGTTTAGCACTGTTTGGGCAAAACTGAGCAGAAAGCAATGTTCCCAGATGCCTCCTCCCCACCCCTCCCCCTCAGACTCCCCCATATCAACACATAGAGTGCCCCACAGTGGCACATTCTTACGAACAATCAACGAACCTGCACAGATAGTCATTATCACCCAAAGTCCGTAGTTCACATTGGGGTTCACTCTTGGTACTGTGCATTCTATGAGTCTTGACAAGTATATGATGACACGTATCCACCAGTGCAATAATATACAGAGTCGTTTCACTGCCCTAAAAATCCTCCGTGTTCTGCCTGTTCACCCCTCCCTCCCACTAACCCCTGGCAACTACCAAACTTTTTACTGTCATCATAGTTTTGCCTTTTCTAGAATGTCATATAATTGGAATCCTTATAATGTTTTTGTTTTTGTTAAATCTTATGGTATTTCTGTGTAAAAGGAAATTAAAGAGAGAGAGAGAGAAATAACACCCCTTCCATGGAAGATCACTGGCTCATTCTTTACTTTATAACAGGGTTTCTCAACCTTAGCACTATTGGTGTTTTGCACCAGATAATTCTTTGGTGTTGGGCAGGGAAGGGGGTGTTGTCATGTGTGGTTTATTTTTTTTTTTTTAGATGGAGTCTCGCTCTGTCTCCCAGGCTGGGGTGCAATGGAGAGATGTCGGCTCACTGCAACCTCCACCTCCCGGGTTCAAGTGATTCTCCGGCCTCAGTCTCTCGAGTAGCTGGGATTATAGGCACCCACCACCACGCCCGGCTAATTATTTGTATCTTTAGTAGAGATGGGGTTTCACCATGTTGGCCAGGCTGGTCTCGAAGTCCTGACTTCGTGATTCACCCGCCTCGGCCTCCCAAAGTGCTGGGATTACAGGTGTGAGCCACCGCGCCCGGCCTGTTTTGTGTATTTTATAGGATGTTCAGTGGCATCCCCAGCCTCTATCCACTATATAGGAAGGACCACCTTCCCAAGTTGTGACCATCAAAAACATCTCAGACATTACCAGATGTCCCCTGGAAGCGAAATCATTCGGACTGAGAACCACTGGTCTAAAGGAGACATTCAAACTTCATCAGAAAATCTCACAAATATTTTATATGTAGTCATTTACCTCTGGTAAGCATTTGGCCACCTAAAATGTTTGGTAAGGGTCGGGCACAGTGGCTCACGCCTGTAATCCCAGCACTTTGGGAGGCCGAGGTGGGCAGATCACCTGAGATCAGGAGTTCAAGACCAGCCTGGCCAATGTGGTGAAACCCCGTCTCTACTAAAAATACAAAAGTTAGCTGGGCATGGTAGCAGGTGCCTGTAATCCCAGCTATTCAGGAGGCTGAGGCAGGAGAATCGCTTGAACCCAGGAGGCAGAGGTTGCCGTGAGTGGAGATCGTGTCACTGCACTCCAGCCTGGGCAACAGAGGGAGACTCCATCTCAAAAAAAAAAAAAAAAAAAAAAAGCCTTGGTAAGGAGTAGGAAAATGAGGTATAGAGATCAAGGAGTTGCAGCCGAAATCTACAGGATGACCACGAATATGGACTTTTAATCTCACACAACAAACTGTATTATTCTTTAAGCAAAACAGCACATAAGCAAATCAGATAATAAAAGTTTTTTTTTTTTTTAAAGAGATTTTCTCCTTGAAACCTTGTTAAAGGAAAATACTTGAACCCTCGTTTTGGGGTTGTTTTCATGTCGTCTCTAGATCTGAAAAGAGTTTGATCCTGTTCAGATGTTCTTTAAATGTTCATAGAAGGTAAATTCTTGCTCTCTTTAAGAATTAAAAGCTAATACTTGACATAACTTTCTTAGACTATAAAATACATCTGATAAAAGTCTACTTTAAAAAAAGCATTTGCTGGGTGTAGTGGCTCATGCCTGTAATCCCAGGACTTTGGTAGGCCTAGGCATGGTGGCTCATGCCTGTAATCCCAGCTGCTTGGGAGGCTGAGGCAGGAGAATTGCTTGAACCCGGGAGGTGGAGATTGCGGTGAGCCAAGATCACACCATTGTACTCCAGCCTGGGCAACAAGAGTGAAACTCCGTCTCAAAAAAAAAAAAAAAAAAAAAAAAAAAAAAGCATTAGAGGCCGGCTGCGAGTTTCATGCCTGCAATCCCAGCACTCTGGGAGGCCAAGGTGGGCAGATCACTTGAGGCCAGGAGTTCAAGACCAGCCTGGCCAACATAGCAAAACCTCGTCTCTACTAAAAATACAAAAAATTCACTCGACATGGTTGTGTACGTCTGTAGTCCCAACTGCTCGAGAGACTGAGGCAGGAGAATCACTTGAACCCGGGAGGCAGAGGTTGCAGTGAGCCAAGATCATGCCACTGCACTACAGCCTGGGTGACAGAGCAAGACCGTCTCAAAAAAAAAAAAGGGTTAGAAATTTAGAGTGAGATACTTCTGCTCCAATAAACTGTGGCCCAAGCGTGTGAGACCACATACTAAAAACAGGCCAGGCCAGACACGGTGACTCATGCCTATAATCCCAGTGCTTTGAAAGGCTGAGGTGGGAGGATCGCTTGAGTTCAGGAGTTCGAGACTGACCTGAGTAACATGGGGAAACCCTGTCTCTAAAAAAAAAAAAAAAAAATTAAAAATTAGCCAGGTGTGGTGGTGCATGCCTGTAGTCCCAGCTAGTCCAGAGGCTGAGGCAGGAGGAAGGTTGCAATCAGGAGTTCGAGGCTGCAGTGAGCTATGATCATGCCAGCGTAGGCAACAGAGCAGGGATACCCCATCTCAAGAAAGGAAGGAAGGAAGGAAGAAAGGAAGGAGCAAACATCCCAAAAGGTAGTTTGAGAAGAGGGGGAACTCTTACAATGTCACTTACCAGAATAGACCAACAGCAATTTTTTAGTGACATGCTTTTGATTTTAGTCCCAAATCCCTAGTTTTTATTGAATGTGGCCAGCAAAGCCCTGCATGGTGTGATCCCTGCCCACCCAGACAGTCTCTCTCACGTGACTCCTCCCAGCCCCACCCCACTTCTCAGTCAGATTGGACTTCTTGCCACCGCAGGGTTTTTACCTCTGCTATTTCCACTGCCTGGCACCATTTCTTCCTCTCATCCTTATCCTGTCTCAGCCTATTCAGTCTTAGTCCATTCGGGGTGCTATAACAAAATAGCATAACTGGCCGCTTACAAACAACAGAAATGTATTATCTCAGAATGCTGAAAACAGAAAAGTCCAAGATGAAGGCGCTGGCAAATTCCGTGTCTGGTGAGTGCACACTTCCGGTTCGGAGACGGCACCTTCTCACTGTGTCCTCACGGTGGAGGGGACTGGGGGCTCGCAGGGACTCTTTTTTTTTTTTTTTTGAGACGGAATTTCGCTTTTTTTGTCCAGGCTGGAGTTCAACGGCGCGATCTCGGCGCGCTGCAACCTCCGCCTCCCCGGTTCAAGCGATTCTCCTGCCTCAGCCTCTCGAGTAGCTGGGACTACAGGCGCCCGCCACCACACGTGACTAATTTTTTTTTTTTTTTTTTGACAGAATTTCGCTCTGTCGCCCAGGCTGGAGTGACAGTGGCGCGATCTTGGCTCACTACAAGCTCCGCCTTCCGGGTCACGCCATTCTCCTGCCTCCGCCTCCCGAGTAGCTGCGACTACAGGCGCCCGCCACCGCGCCCATCTAATTTTTTGGTCTTTGTTTTAGTAGAGACGGGGTTTCACCGTGTTAGCCAGGATGGTCACGATCTCCTGACCTCGTGATCCGCCCGCCTCGGCCTCCCAAACGCCCGGCTACTTTTTGTATTTTTAGTAGAGAGTTTCGCCATGTTGGTCAGGATGGTCTCGAACTCCTGACCTCAGGTGATTCACCCACTTCGGCCTCCCAAAGTGCTGGGATTACAGGCGTAAGCCACCGCGCCCAGTTTCCTTTCAACTTTTCTCAAGGATCTTCCTTCAGACTGAGGGCTGTGTTTCTGGCCCTAGCCCTTGAAGTTTTGTTGTTGTTTTTTTCAATAATCAGTAGTTCTGAACATTTCATTTCCCAGTTTCTGTGTTCTTTCTGCCCAAAGCTAAATTCTAATATTTCAGTAAATATTTTCACTGGTTCTGGCAGCATAGTATTTTATCATGTGACAATGCCACTGTGGGTTTATAGAACCATTCGTTCCCTGTTGAGGGGCATTTATGTTGTTTCCAACTTTCTGATATTATGGTGAAATGCCACAGTGGGGATACTCGTAACCTAAATTTTCCCACATGTCTGATTATTTTCTCAGGATAAATTTCTAAAAAGAACTGCTAGGCTGGGCATGGTGGCTCACGCCTGTAGTCCCAGCACTTTGGGAGGCCGAGGCAGGTGGATCGCTTGAGCCCAGGAGTTCAGGACCAGCCTGGGCAACATGCAAAACCCCATCTTTACAAAAAATACAATAATTAGCCAGGCATGGTGGCATGTGACTACAGTCCTAGCTACTCGAGAGGCTGAGGTGGGAGAATTGCTTGCGCCCAGAAGGTGGAGGTTACAGTGAGTGGAGATCGCACTACTGTACTCCAGCCTGGGGGACAGAGTGAGACCCTGTCTTGAAAAAACAAAAAACAAAACAAACAAAAAAAACCTACTAAGTTAAAGGGTAAGAACATTTTTTAAGGCTAAAGGCATATTTTGTCCGTTTTGTCCCATTACATTAGGCTTGCTTTTGACACTTAACTCAGTGGTCACGAGAGTTTTCCTACCAACTCTCCTCCCACTATTTACTTTTTCTGTGTCAGCTTCTTATCCGGTTTCATCTGTCTGATTTCCTGTATTCCTTTTTTTTTTTTTCTTTTTTTTGAGATGGAGTGTCGCTCTGTTGCTCAGGCTGGAGTGCAGTGGTGCGATCTCAGTTCACTGCAGCCTCCCGGGTTCAAGTGATTCTCATGCCTCAGCCTCCTGAGTAGCTGGGATTACAGGCTCCTGCCACCAGGCCTGGCTAATTTTTGTATTTTTAGTAGAGACAGGGTTTCACCATGTTGCCCAGGCTGTTCTAAAATTCCTGGCCTCAAGTGATCCGCCTGCCTCAGCCTCCCCAAATGCTGGGATTACAGGAGTGAGCCACCATGGCAGTCCTAACACTGCTTGATTTTATGTCTCATTAATCTTCGCATTGACTTGTTCATTAAATAAGTGCGGAGCCCCCATGCTGTGCCAGCAGTTGTGCTTGGCTAAGTGCAGTCAACAAGATGATCAAATCATAACAGAATGTGGTCAGTACTCTGTGGACACTAACATAACCCTAGGAAATAATTATAGGGGAAAGGTTGACTTCCGAAAGTTTGTTAGGAAAGTTATTTTTTATTTTTACTTATTTACTTTTGAGACAGGGGTCTCACTATGTTGCCCAGGCTGTCCTTGAACCCCTGGACTCACGCAATCCTCCTGCCTCAGACTCCTGGGTAGCTGGGATTACAGGCGTGCACCACCATGCTCCGTGAAAAGTTCTTTCTGAGAAGATGAAACCTGAAGAATAAGAAGGAACCAACTGGCCAATGAGCAAGCACATGAAAAGACGCTCAGCATCATTAGTCATTAGGAAAATGCCAATCAAAACCACAATGAGATAGCACTCATAACACCCACTAGGATGGCTATAATTAAAAGAAAAGGGGGAGGAGGAATAACAAGTGTTGGCAAGGATGTGGAGAAATAGGAGCCCTTGTACAGTACTTATGGGGATACAGATTGGTGCAGCTGCTGTGGGAAAGTAGTTGAGCATTTCCTCAAAAAGTTAAACCTAGAGTTACCACGTGGCCCAGCAATTCAACTCCTAGGTATGTATCCAAGAGAACTGAAAACATATATTCACACAAAAAGTTATAAACAAATGTTCACGAGAGAATTATTCATAAAAGGTCAGGTGCAGTGGCTCACGCCTGTAATCCCAACACTTTGGGAGGCCAAGGCGGGTGGATCACTTGAGGTCAGGAGTTCAAGACGACCCTGGCCAACGTGATGAAACCCCACCTCTACTAAAAATACAAACAAATTAGCTGAGTGTGGTGGCAGGAACCTGTAATCCCAGCTACTCAGGAGGCTGAGGCAGGAGAATCTCTTGAACCCAGGAGACGGAGGTTGCAGTGAGCCGAGATCACGCCACTGCATTCCAGCCTGGGGAACAGAGTGAGACTCCATCTCCAAAAAACAAAAGAGGAATTATTCATAAAAGTCAAAATGTGGAAACTACTCAAATGTCCATCAACTGATAAAGAAAATGATAAAGTCATACAATAGAATATTCTTCAGCCATAAAAAGGAATGATGTGCTAATCCATGCTACGACACAGGTGAACCTACAACATTATGCTAAGTGAAAGTTGCCAGAAATAAAAGGGCACATATTGGGATTCTATTTATACGAAATGTCCAAAAGGGACGAATCTGTAAAGATAGAAGTAGATTAGTAGGTTTTGTTTGTTTGTTTGTTTTGTGACAGAGTCTCACTCTGTCGCCCAGGCTGGAGTACAGTGGTGCGATCTCGGCTCACTGCAACCTCTGCCTCGGGTTCAAGCAATTCTCCTGCCTTAGCCTCTGTAGTAGCTGGGATTACAGGCGTGCGCTACCACGCCCCGGCTAATTTTTGTATTATTAGTAGAGACAGGGTTTCACCATGTTGGCCAGGCTGGTCTCAAACTCCTGGCCTCAAATGACATGCCCGCCTTGGCCTCCCAAAGTGCTGGGATTACAGGCGTGAGCCATCGCGCCAGGCCTAGAAGCAGATTAGTATTTGTATAGGTTGCAGGAGGGGAAAACGGAGAGTGACTGCTTTTAATGAGTATGGGGTTTTGGGAGCCGGGTGATGAAAATATTTTGGAATTAATAGTGGTGACGTTAGTGGATGACTGGATGCAGGAAAAAAAAATAGTGGTGATGGTTGCACATCATTGTGAGTATGCTCTAAAAAACAATAACCACTGAATTGTACACTCTAAGATGGTTAAAATGGTGAATTTGTTATGTGAATTATTATTATTATTATTTTTGAGATGGAGTTTCACTCTTGTTGCCCAGGCTGGAATGCAATGGCGCAATCTCGGCTCACTGCAACCTCTGCCTCCCAGGTTCAAGCGATTCTCCTGCCTCAGCCTCCCGAGTAGCTGGGATTACAGGCATCTGCCATCATGCCTGGCTAATTTTGTATTTTTAGTAGAGACAGGGTTTCACCATGTTGGTCAGACTGGTCTCGAACTCCTGACCTCAGGTGATCTGCCCACCTTGGCCTCCCAACGTGCTGGGATTACAGGTGTGAGCTACCGCACCTGGCCGTGAATTATTTTGTATTGAGATGCAATCACATGACATAAAAGTAAACATTTCTTTTTTTTTTTTTTTTTTTTTTTGAGACAGAGTTTTGCTCTTGTTGCCCAGGCTGGAGTGCAATGGTGCGATCTCAGCTCACAGCAACCTCTGCCTCTCAGGTTCAAGCAATTCTCCTGCCTCAGCCTCCTGAGTAGCTAGGATTACAGGCATGCGCCACCATGCCCAGCTAATTTTGTATTTTTAGTAGAGACGGGGTTTCTCCATGTTGAGGCTGGTCTCGAACTCCTGACCTCAGGTGATCCGCCCGCCTCGACCTCCCAAAGTGCTGGGATTACAGGTGTGAGCCACCGCACCCGGCCAAAATTAACCATTTCTAAGGGTGCAGTTCACTGGCATTTAGTATATCCACAGGAATGTGAAAAAAAAAACAAAAAACTACACTTAAATGTAATATGCGGACTGGGCACGCTCATGCCTGTTATTATCCCAGCACTTTGGGAGGCCGAGGCAGGCGGATCACTTGAGGCCAGGGTCTGAGACCAGCATGGCCAACATGATAAAACTGTCTCTACCAAAAATACAAAAAAAAAAAAAAATAGCCGGGCTGGGGGGCACGTGCCTGTAGTCCCAGCTACTAGGGAGGCTGAGACAGGGGAATCTCTTGAACTCTGGAGGCAGAGGTTGCAGTGAGCTGAGATTGTGCCACTGCACTCCAGCCTGGGCCATAGAGTGAGACTGTCTTAAAAAAAAAAAAAAAAGTAATATGTGGAAAGGATGTCAGTCTTCCAGTTACTATTTTACTAACTTAAAAATAACCTTCCAAGGAAAGGTATTAAGAAAAATTACTGCCAGAATTTTCATTTCGATTACATGGACAAAAATTGTGACATCACAAAATCAATCCCTTTTTAGTGATTTTATACAGTTATGAAGTGTATGATCTTTTAGATACCAAAAGCAGGGGGGACAGTCACCATCAATCATAAACAGCACAGGCCAGGCACGGTGGCTCACGCCTATAATCCCAGCACATTGGGAAGCCAAGGTGAGAGGAAAGCTTAAGCACAGGAGTTGGAGACCAGCCTGGGCAACCTAGGGAGACCCGGAAGGAAGGAGGGAAGGAAACAGTACGGGGAGTCCAGAGTGACGAGATCCTCATCACCACAGCTGAGCTGAGAACGGGTGATGCAGGGCTGGGTGTGGTGGCTCACACCTGTAATCCCAGCACTTGGGAGGCCGAGATGGGCAAATCACTTGAGGCCAGGAGTTCAAGGCCAGCCTGGCCACCATGGTGAAACCCTGTCTCTACTAAAAATACACACACACAAAAACAACAACAACAACAACAACAAAAGACAGGTGATGCAGGAGAACAAGACACAAGCAAGGAACAGAGCCCATCCAACACTAGAATTCACTGGCGCATGTATATCGATATTGATACTGCTGTGTATTTTCTCTTTTCTTAATAGTTTCAACATTTCCAATACTACATTTCCCAGGACAGTCTCCTAATTAAGTCTACTTCTTTGCACCTAGAGACCACTCGTCTTTTATATTCTGATAATTGACCCTCTCCTCAAATCACAAGGTACACAAAGAAGAATGAGGTTATTTATACATCCTTCCATCCATTCATTCCAACCGACCATCCGGACAGGAAAGTATTACTGAACAGCAACTATAGAGAAGGTGCATAGTTTCATTTTAATAAATGTTTTAAAATGGCTAGGTTGACTGCTAGGTTGAAGAGTTGCAACAGCAGCACCTGTGTGGAAATTCAATACCACGGCCAGGCAGTAAGACTTTAAAAAGCAACCACTTGTGGTCGGGTGCAGTGGCTCACACCTGTAATCCCAGCACTTTGGGAGGCCGAGGCGGGGGGATCATGAGGTCAAGAGATTGAGACCATCCTGGCCAACATGGCGAAACCCCATCTCTACTAAAAAAACAAAAGTTAGTTGGATGTGGTGGCGCACACCTGCAGTCCTAGCTACTCTGGAGGCTGAGGCAGGAGAATCGCTTGAACCCGGGAGGGAGAGGTTGCAGTGAGCCGAGATCATGCCACTGCACTCCAGCCTGGCAACGGAACGAGACTCCATCTCAAAAAAGAAAGAAAAAAAAGCAACCACTCACATGAGGTGGGAACAGAGGTCTCCACTGTTAATTATTTGGAAAGATCATTCTCCAGGAGAGAAAAGGAAGCCTGACAAACTTTTTATATTTGTGTCAAGCTCTTCTAATACTAGAAAGGCAATTTGGGGAAATCTGCAAACTCCTGGGTGGGTGACCTCTGCCCCACATAATACACAGATATATTTTTCAAATGGAATAGGGTCTTAATTTCCAATGATGGGTTTTTAAAATACAAAATTAGTACAAGTACTTTGGGTGAGTAACACGTCTAAAGAAACTATGCAATCTGAAAGTTGCGGCCTTAAATGTGCAGTCATTTAGCAATTGTTTTGCTATGGTTGTTCTTATTTATTTGTTTGCTTTTTACTATAAGCAAGTGGCTTTTATCTCTCTGTCCCTCAATTTCTGTATCTGTAATACAGAAATTATAAATGTAACTGAAGAATCGGGTTGTTGAGATTATGAGTTAATGCATGTAAAGTGCTCAGAAAGAGCAGCAGCTGGTACGCAGTGAACACTTAACACATGTTAACTGCTATTATGGTTATTATTAGTAGTAAAATACATACAAAGTCACACTTAATTCAGGTCTACCAAGAATCTTTTAGTGCTTTCAGTATGTTATTTTAAAAATTATAGTGTGATGATTTGGTAATCACTATTTTCTTGGGGATTACCAGATTTTTTTTTTTTTTTTTTTTTTGAGACGGAGTCTCCCTCTGTCGCCAGGCTGGAGTGCAATGGTGCAGTCTCAGCTCACTGCAACCTCCGCCTCTCAGGTTCAACTGATTGTCCTGCCTCGGCCTCCCGAGTAGCTGGGACTACAGGCATGTGCCACTATGCCCAGCTAATTTTTGTATTTTTAGTAGAGACGGGGTTTCACCATGTTGGCCAGAATGGTCTCGATCTCTTGACCTTGTGATCCAGCCACCTCGGCCTCCCAAAGTGCTGAGATTAGAGGCGTGAGCAACTGTGCCTGGCCTGCAGATTACCAGATTCTTTGGCTAGAAATAGAAATTTGGATATTTCAATGAGTTCAATTTTCATGGTGAAAACTGAAACAGATAAGAGGATTCAGGTGACTAAATATAGGCAAAGCACACAGAATCCTTGCAAGAATAACTTCTGATGGGAAAGCTGTATTTTACTCTAGATCAAGGAGAACATGAAGGAAGAATGGAAACCGTGGTGGGTCTGCAGAGAACTACAAAAATAGGTTACAATTTGAGCCATGTAGAAATCACAGTCACTGGGATTCATGCAATTACGCTGAGAGATAGAGATGAGAGTCTGCATCATCGTGACAGATACAAGAAGTGATATTGGGGCTGGGCTTTGTTATTTCCATGGGATAGTCAGGTACTGAGTCAAAAATTTGTTGAGATAAAAAAATAAAAATAATGACAGGGGAAAAACCTAATATAATTGACAACAGCACTGGTCTAGTAGAGAGAGCACGGCAATCCCATGAGTGTTCATGGAAATGGCCATTTATTTATTTATTTATTTAGAGACTGGGTCTCACTCCGTCGCCCAGGCTGGAGTGCAGTGGCACGATCTCGGCTCACTGCAGCCTCTGCCTCCCAGGCTCAAGCAATCCTCCCGCCTCAGCCTCACAAGTAGCTGGCACTAAAGATGCACACCACCACACCTGGTTAATTTTTTTGTATTTTTAGTGGAGACGGGGTTTTGCCATGTTGCCCAGGCTGGTCTCAAACTCCTGGGCTCAAGCGATCTGCCTGCCTCGGCTTCCCAAAACGTTGGGATTACAGGCGTGAGCCGCCCCACCTGGCCAGAAATGGCCTTTTAAAGGTAGCCATACTGTGCCTCAGTTTCTCAACTATCAAATGAAAATTAAATGGAGGCAATTTTACTCTACAAAGTTAGAAGACCGAAGGAGTAAATGTGAATGTTCCTTTTTAAGAGAGACCTTTGCGAAATTTAACATTGTATTTGGATACTGCCATGCATTTAGTCTTCCAGATTAACTTTGGAGTCACTTTGCTAATTTCCAGCAAAATCCTTTTGGATTTTTTGTTTGAAATTGAGTTAAAGTGTAGATTAATTTGGAGACAGTGTTTTAATATGAAATCTTTCCTGCTGGGAACAGGACATGCCTCTCCATTGACTGAAGGCTTCGAGTGCTTCAGGAGAGATTCTTAGTTTTCTTCCTAAAGTTTTCTTACACTTCTCATTTTGTTTGTATTTAGACTTATATCCTCTTTGGTTGATATTTTGACTTCTCCCACTCTATTTTGTAACTGGTTTATAGGAAAGCTATTTTTTAATATCGGTCTTATAACCAGCTACTTTATGAATTCTCTTATTCTTTCCATCAGTGTTTCGTTGATTCTCTTGGGGTTTCTGACTACACAGACATAGCAACTGCAAAAAAAAGGGAATCATTTAATCTCATTTTCCCAATAGGCTCATTTCTTCATCATCTTTTTACATGGGCTAAAACTACCAGAACAACATTGAATAATGGTGGCGATGAGGGGACACACTTTGTGCTTTTGTTTCAGATTTGTAAATGAATGTCTATGGGATTTTATCCCTAAGTATAATGTTAGTTGCTGATTTCAGTTAGAAAAATGCTATCACATGAAAGAAGATTCCTTCTACATTTTCTTTACTAGTGGTTTTTCTTTTTTCTTTTTTTTTCCTTTTTGGAGATGGGGTCTCCCTATGTTGACCAGGCTGGTCTTGAACTCCTGGCCTCAAGCAACCCTCCCATCTTGGCCTCCCAAAGTGCTGGGATTACAGGCACCAGCCACCGTGCCCAGCCTCATTAGTGGTTTTTCAATTTATTACTTTACTGTATTAAGGTTCCTGCTTACTCAAAGTACTTTCCATAAAGCCCCACAGGACTCATTTTTGTCAAAAACCTATGCACCCATTCCAATTTAATATATAATTATGAGATTATCAGTTAGTACTGTCATAATTTGCATAATCATTAGGACCTGAAAATATGAAGCCCCTCTTTAATTAATATGATGAAAATTAAATTCAGGAAATAAGCGTGATACATAAGCGCCTCGTGTAAGGCATTTTATGAGACGCTCCTGAACAGTGTTGCTCACTGAGGGGCCTGCAGCTCACTTGAAGTGTCTCTGTGAGAATACAGATTGATGGGCTGCACTCCGGAATTCCTGAGACGGAACTTGCAGAATAGAGGCCGGTGGCCGGGCGCCGTGGCTCACGCCTGTAATCCCAGCACTTCCGGAGGCCAAGGCAGGTGGAGCACTTGATGTCAGGAGTTCAAGACCAGTTCGAGAGATGGTGAAACCCCAACTCTACTAAAAATACAAAAATTAGCTGGGCGTGGTGGCGCATGCCTATAGTCCCAGCTTCTTGAGAGGCTGAGGTGAGAGGATCATTTGAATCCAGGAGATGGAAGTTGCAGTGAGCCAAAGATCACACCATTGCACTCTAGCCTGGGCAACAGAGCCAGACTCTGTCTCAAAAAAAAAAAGCGTGAACCCGGGAGGCGGAGCTTGCAGTGAGCCGAGATCCCGCCACTGCACTCCAGCCTGGGCGACAGAGCGAGACTCCGTCTCAAAAAAAAAAAAAAAAAAAAAAAAAAAAAAAAAAAAAAAAAAAAGAATAGAGGCTGGGAAGCTGTATTTTCAAGGAGATTCCCAGGTGATTCTTACACATCTTATAGTTTAAAACTCTGCCACAGAGAATGAAAGATCAAGTAAAACATACAGAACTTAAAAAAAAAGAGAGAGAGACAGAGGCCTGGTGCGGTGGCTCATGCCTGTAATCCCAGCACTTTGGGGGGCCAAGGTGGGCAGATCACCTGAGGTCAGGAGTTCGAGACCAGCCTGGCCAACATGGTGAAACCCTGCCTCTACTAGAAATACAAAAATTAGCTGGGCATGGTGGCAAATCACTTGAACCCAGGAGGCAGAGGCTGCAGTGAGCAGAGATCGCAACACTGCACTTCAGCCTGGGCGACAGAGCAAGTCTCAAAAAAAATTTTTTTTAAAGAGAGAGAAGAGTATATTTGAACTTACCATCAGAGAGGCAAAGCTAAATTCATCATGAGATAGTGATTAAACTGGTTGTGAACATAATAAAACAGCTCAGCCACGCTCATGCACCACTGTTTGTCTAGGCTTAGTTCTGACTGCTTCTAGGAATTCCCTTCAATCACTGGGTTTTCCAGCTGAGCCATACAGCCTCCAATGAAGGAAAAGAAAGGAGGCCAAGTCACTGGGACTCTTTTTTTTCAACTTTAACCAGAGCAGCTCCACTTACATCTGTTACGGTGTTTTAGGGTTCTGAGCAATATTTTTAAGAATAAAAGTTTGAAAATTATCGACTGACACTCTTTAAATTGTTTAGATTAGATTTCGTAAGATTGCACCCCTGTCTTACTATCAAGTTTGATCCTTTATGTTGGTACACATGATTAAAACTCAAGAAGTTCATGGCCGGGTGCGGTGACTCACACCTGTAATCCCAGAACTTTGGGAGGCCGAAGTGGGTAGATCACTCAAGGCCAGGAGTTCAAGACCAGCCTGACCAATAGCCTTTAGTAGAGACCAACCCTGTCTCCACTAAAAAATTCAAAAATTAGCTGGGCGTGGTGGTGCGCACCTGTAGTCCCAGGTACTCGGGAGGCTGAGGCACGAGAATCGCTTGAACCTGGGAAGCAGAGGTTGCAGTGAGCCATGGGCGAGCCACTGCACTCCAGCCTGGGCAACAGAGTGAGACTCCATCTCAAAAGCAAAACAAAACAAAACCTCAAAAAAAATTGATTTGAGCAAATTTGACAAAATCTGTTTTACATTTTTCTTTTCTTATACATCTCTCTCAAAAGATGAAATATCTTCTATATCATAATTTTGCATATAATATGTAATGCTTCTGTGAATTTGAGGGCATTCTATGACTATTATTATTATTATTATTTGGAAATTCTCTAATACTGTGTTTTAAAAGTTTTGGAAAGGGAGAAAAACTCCAGATGAAATACTGAAGGGGTAATTGATGTAGTTCTGTCCCAGTGAAGGGAGCTTATGTTCCCCCCTTCACTGGGACAGAACCTGCATCAATGACTAGGGCAGCAGCTGGAGCTTCTGACGCTCACGCTCCGGTCACCTGTTTGTTTTGGTGCTCGTCCTCTCACCACGCTGGGCTCCAGTTCCTTCTTGGATAAACTGAACCAGTTGGAGCATGAGATTTCCAAGATTCTTCCCAGCTCTACAAGTTGATAACTTCTTTGTACGTCAAAGAATCCCACATAGACTTAGATTACGGCAGGCTCTCTCTCATAACCAAGAAAAAATTCTGGCCAATTTTCAGACATGGAATAATGCTCCGTATCAGTATACATTAAGATTAATTTATTCTAAGATTAATTAATTCAGCATAATAAGTATCTGCTTATGTGTAATTAAAAGGAAATTATTTTAAGGGAACCTGAGCTAATCATCGTGTTTGTTTTTTGAATATCAGCATGATAAATTAACTTATTGTGTTCCATTAAGATAACCAGTTCATTGCGGGCAAGGATGGCATATGAAATCAAGCCCAGTATCTCATTTCTCCACTTTAGGTTTTAGTTTCTCCTTATATTTATTTTTTAAGACAAGTTTTTATTTTACAGGTAGGATTTCCTCTCCTCCCACAGTCTCTGCAGAGCTGAAATTTTCAAAGCTTTCTTTTTTCTTTTTAGTTGTGCTCCATGATTTCTCACCAGTGCCCACTTCTTATAACAAAAAAAATGAACTAAGTTGAAATAGGAGCCTCTTGTCTATTTAGCAAATACTCTCTGTGCACAGCCTATAGTCCTAGCAGTGTTAGAACACTGGAAGGGAATGGGGTGGCCATGACCTTGAGAAGCTCAGGCCTTCTCAATGCCCTGGAAAAAGTGGAAGCCATATTCAGTATATTGATGTCATGATAAGGATGATACTTAACAAATAATACTTTTTATCTTTTCAACAAAAAATCCTTAGCAACAATTGCTTATGAAATACACATTTGAAACTTTAACAATCACGGTATTGGTTTGAAGCAGAGCCTTAGTAATGTCCCTTAGTGGTTGTCGAAACCAACTGAAAAACAAGATAATTAGTGAATTGAAGTAATTAATAATATTTTGTGATAAGCACCACTAACAAAGAAGTAAAGACAAGTACATGAAATGACAGCTGCCGTACATAAGAATCACATTTCCCTTCCCCTCCTAAAGAATCCTAGTAGGATATCTTATAAAAAGAGAGCTTCTGGGGTAAGGTGACTTAGAGGGAGAAAAAAACATGCAGATATAACCTACAAAAGGCATCCCAGTCTATTCTTTGCTTAGAGACTGCAGCATAGACACTGTTCCCATGAGGCAGGGTCCCACAGGGTTAAAAACCTATCTAAAACAATTCTGCAGAGGCAGCCTCTGACATTGCGTTGAAAGGGTCCACGCACTCTGTGAGCTCATATTTATGACATACATAGGGTTCTCTTTGCTGGGCAGTTCTTTCCCTTGTGTTGAAGAGACACGTGATAGTTGACCCTCACCTCACGGCTCCCTCACTTGTGAATTAAAGTCAGACACTGCCGTAAGGTTCTTCTGGTTCCTGCTTTGTGGAGAAAGCTTTCAGCAGCAATATCTGGGATCACTGGTGTATTAAATGTCAGGCCTCGCATCATTATTCTGCCCTGAGCTGATGGTAAACCGGGCACCCAGCCTTTTAGCTTTCATCCAGCACGAGGGAACTTGCCTTCAGATGTGACACGTACAAGTCAAAAAAGCTCAGAGTCAGCTCCAACGTCTATTGGATCCCACTCTATCGCCTTTAAAAAGGAAAAGAAAATCGAATTCACAGAACCGAGGCTAAATACGACCGTTAAGAACGGACTGCATTCACCATATTTCCATGAGAGTGGCAAAGAGAACAAAGATAAATGCCAGGCTACATCTTGGATCCTTTGCCAGCTTGTGGAAGAACTTAGCAGAAAAAGATGTGAACTCTACTGTTTAGGAATAAAATAACTTTTAAAAATAAATTATTGAAAAGTGTTATTTGGCTGTTTCTTTTATGCATTCAAAAGCAAAATAGTAAGAATCCAGTGGACTTTGAAATCTTCCTATATGTTAAAAAATAGGCCGGGCGCGGTGGCTCACGCTGTAATCCCAGCACTTTGGGAGGCCGAGGCGGGCGGATCACGAGGTCAGGAGATCGAGACCATCCTGGCTAACACGGTGAAACCCCGTCTCTACTAAAAATACAAAAAATTAGCAGGGCGTGGTGGTGGGTGCCTGCAGTCCCAGCTACTCGGGAGGCTGAGGCAGGAGAATGGCGTGAACCCGGGAGGCGGAGCTTGCAGTGAGCCGAGATTGCGCCCCTGCACTCCAGCCTGGGCGACAGAGCGAGACCCTGTCTCAAAAAAAAAAAAAAAAAAAAAAAAAAAAAAAAAATAATAATAATAATAATAATAATAATAATTAGAGTCCACCTAAGGTAAGAATCTAGGACTCATTTTTGTATTGAAATTTCATTCCTTGTAATTCATATTTTTTCATGTGATCCCTGAAATAAATTAAAAAAGAAAAAAAAAGGTACCAGTGCTCGTAAGTAGAAAGTGGAGAACTAAACGACTCCAAAATGTGCAATATGTTGGGCACTGGTGGCCAGCTGGTAAAAATCTTATGAGAGTTGCGGGTTTTCGAAATATATGTAATTTAGTTATCTGTCAAAATGAGATCCGCATCTACATGGCTTTACCCAGGAATGCAGAATTTGAGACTGGAGCGTAGGGAGGGAGAAGCCTATGGGTCTTGGGTTTTCCGGAATTGGATTATAAATACGAACAGGTTTAAAGAAATAATGAGGCCGGCAGCGTGTGCGAGGAGCCCCGCGCTTCCTGGGCACCACGCGGCGGGACCCGGGGAGGCAGGCGGGGACCCGGGGAGGCAGGCGGGGACCCGGGGAGGCAGGCGGGGACCCGGGCAGGCAGGCGGGGACCCGGGGAGGCAGGCGGGGACCCGGGCAGGCAGGCGGGGACCCGGGGAGGCAGGCGGGGACAGGCACCAGCCCACTTGACAACTGCGCGCACCGGCGCAGCCGGCAGCTCGGGGGCGCGCACACCCACACCGCGCCACGTGCGCGCGGGGGCTGCGGAGACTACCCGAGCCGCGTGGGCGCGTCAGAGCCACCTCCGCTCTCTCTCACGTCGCCAGGGATTCTTGACGGATGATTCCGCTGTCAGATGCCAGCTTGCCTCTGTCACACCGTTTTCCTGAACGCAGTAGCCATGTATTTGAAAGCCGTGTCATGTGTGAAACGAGTTTACCTTGTAGATTAGGATAAACAAAGATTCTCCGTGCTCATCCAAAAGTCCAAAGCCCCCTCCGCTCTGCAATTTCCACTTGTTATATGCAGAACTATTCTCACCTCGGGAATGTGATGGTTTTATAACTGTGGGGGCCCAAATGTACTGACTAGGACTGTTTTCCCGCACTCACCATGAGGAGGTGTTCAGTTGGACATGTGCCTAAGGATTTTTGTTGGCTTTTTATTTAGTATTTGCTCATTTTGGAAAAAAAAGTACAAACTACCTTCGAGCTGGGAGCTACACAGAGAGGCTTGCTCAGATTCAGATTTGTTTTGGTATGTCTGTTTCATAGGCTGCAGACTTCCTACTGTGTCACATCCAGTGCGCATCATACCTGCTGGGGTGTCTCTCAGGGATGTTAAGATTGATCAGTGGGCTCGGATCCTGTCAACCCGATATGTCCATTATAAAGTTCTCCTTCAGCTCTTCACCTGTGGTTTCAGCAGCCATTGATAATCATTGCTTAGATACTTCATTTCATTAGAGGTTGCAAAATGGCAATATTTTAATTTATCATTTCTTTCATGTATCAGCAGGATCTTTTCCCATCAATTATTTGGCTACCCTAAATACAGTTCATACAGGAAGGGCAAAATAAATACTTGATCCTTACTCTTTATTTTTGGAATAAAGAGTTGTTTCCTTAGCACTCTCCAAAGGTGACCAATCCATCTATTTTTGGAGCATTACTCTCAACCGGTGGATGTTACCATACTTGATGTGTCTTAATATGCTACAGTATTTATTTACTTATTTATTTGATGGCCCAAATACCCCACTTTCAGCCAGGGCTCCTGTAGCCTTCTGACACAACCATAGAAGTCTTTGACGTATTATGAAAGACTATGTAATATTCCAGGGGTCAGAGGAAGATATTAAATGACATCATGGGGAAGCAAAATCAGCAAAATTTAGAAAGTGAGAAACTCTACAGCACGCATCATTCAGTTTCTTCAACAATAGATTGCAAGGGGGTAGAGAAGGAGGGCGTGAAACTCCTCTAGGGTCAGAAGAGACCAAGAAACTTCAGACAAAAGCAACATCCGGACTTTGTTTGGATACTGGTATTTTTTTGTTTTTTTTTTTAGATTGTAAAAAAAAGAGTTAAGGAGATGGATGATGGTAATGGTTGCACATTATGAATGGATTTAATACCACTGTTTACTTAAAAATGAATAAGATGGTAAATTTTATGTTATGTGTATTTTACCATGATAAAAATAATAAATTAAAAAATAATAATTTGGCTGGGCACAGTGATTCATGCCTGTAATCCCAGCATTTGGGGAGGCTGGGGCAGAAGGATTGCTTGAGGGCCAGGAGTTCAGGACCAGCCTGGGTAACATAGTGAGACCCTGTCTCTACAAATAATTAAAAAATTAGCCAGGCGTGGTGGCACATGCCTGTGGTACCACCTTTTTGGGAGGCTGAGATGGGGGGATTGCTTGAGCCTGGGCGATTGAGGCTGCAGTGAGCCAGGATCACACCACTGCACTCTGAATGACAGAGCAAGACCCTATCTCAAAAAAAAAAAAAAAAGCAAAAGTAAAATAAAATAATTTATGAGAAAATCAAGGAAATTTGAATGCTGGCTGGCTTTTTGATGATATGCAGGAATTACTATAAAAATGCGTAGGAGTGGCAATATGATTGTGGTTATGTTAAAAAATATTCTTTCGATTTTAAAGACGCATAGTGAAATAGTATAGATGAAATTGTATCTCGAATTTGTTTCAAAATAACCTAGTGGCAGTAAGGAGAGAAAGTAATTGTGGTATGATGGATAATCATTGAAGCTGGGAGATGGGTACCTGGGGGTTCACTGTGTTCATCTGTCTGGTTTTATATATGTTTGGAAATTGCATAATAAAAAGTCTAAAATTTATTTTAAAGTACAGATTACCCTAGAAGGAAGCCGAAGAGGAACTGATAGTGGTAGAACTACACAAACTCCATAAATAAAGTCTTGCCTAATTCAGACATGTGCTACCACCTGCCAGCTGCAGTGGTGGAGTAAGAGGAAAAGCCCAGTGACTAAGCAAGGAGAGTAACTGTCTTATATTATCGAGGGATGCTCCGGGCCTGTGCTAGGTGCTTTGTATGCTTTTAACTCATTTAATCCTTACAATAGTCTTATGAGATAGATACTATTATGTTAGTATAATATCCACACTACAAATGGAAAAACTGAAGTTCAGAGAAGCCACTCTCTTCATAAACAGCAAAGATAGGCTTCAATCCATGTGGTCTGGCTTTGGAGCCAGTCTACTGATAAGAGCAACATAAGTAGCTCTTAATAGATGCCAGCCCTGTTTTAAGTGTTTTGTGTCTATTAATTCATTTAATACTCACAATAACCCTATGAGGAAGATACTCTCATAGGACCCATTTTACAGATGAGAAAGTTGAGATACAGGCAGGTGAAGTGACTGTGTAAGATCACACAGCTGGCACACGGCAGAGCCAGATGTTAAGCTGGGAGTTTGGGCTCCACCCCACCCTGCTGCCCCTCACATTATTAACCACTGGGCTACAGTGACAGCTAGCTATGCAGGCTCTTTCCTTCCTTAATAAACATTTATTGAGCACCTGCAAGAGGCAGTCTCTGTTAGAGGCGCTGGGATATGGTGATGAACAAGACACATTTTGCTTTACCTTCCGGTGACATACAGTCTCCCAGTCCCTGAATCTCTTAGGAGCTAATTTAGGAGATGAAGGGGTTAAACTCAGAAGCTCAGGCTACCGTGTTGGCACTTTCTTGTTTTAAGCTGAATTGGCCAGAGGGTGATGCATGCCTGTAATCCCAGCTACTCAGGAGGGAGGATCACGCAGGAGTTCCAGGCCAGCCTGGGCAACAGGGCGAGACTCTGTCTCAAAAAAAAAAAAAAAAAAAAAAAGTTGAATTGGAAAGAGCATTGGATCAGCAGCCCAAGAAGGGCGCTTCTGAACTTGAAAATGTCAGAGGTAAGGCTGTGAAGGAAGTTGCCTGTGGATCCTACTGCTCTACCCACTGGGTCCAGTAGGTCCCTTTCCGCTAGACACCATTCTCATTTCTTTCCTAGAATCCTCTCTCTCTTCTGCTGGGTTCTGTTCAACCCCAACTTCTTCTCTGCTTCGGAGCTCAATGAGCTCCTCTTCTCTGAAATCTCAATGCCCTTGTTGGTTGCACTAATCAATTCAATACTTAATTATATACAAAGCTTGATTGTTATCCAATAATTTTACTACGTATGTCTTGCCTCCTCACTTAAACTGTACATATTTACAAGACAGAGACTAGGTCTTATACTTCATTGATATTCTCCCAGCAAGCCCCAAGCCATGGAGTAGGTGCTCACTACATATTATTTAAATGAATAAGTCATATTTTCAATAATATTGTGTATGTTAGATGACAATACATAGAATGATCAAGAGCACAGACTCTCTCTCTTCATAGTTGTGTGCCACCAGGCAAGTTATTAACATCCTTTATGCCTTAGTTTTCTTATCTGTAAAGGAGGGATAATAGTTTCTAATCCACGCACATGGAATTCTTAGCCTGGCGCCCAACGAATGTTCAATATATGCTATCAGTCAATATTTTTATTATTACTACAACTGCCTAGTAAAGTAAGATTAGATTGACTAACCAGAGCATTTCTCCTACATGTGACGTCAAATTAAATCAGAAGTTTGCTTGATGAGCATGATTTGGTGAGCATGATTTGGTGAGCATGATTTGGTGAGCATGATTTGGTTGGCTGTGGAGGCCGTGGACTGTAGCGGAGCAAGAATGGGCATTAAAATCTCACCTCTGACTCTGGCTGTGAGACCTTGGCTTTCGTGAGCTTCAGTTTGTTCATTTGCAAACTGCAAATAGTAACAGATATATCCCATTGAGCTATCGTGCGGGCCAGATTTAATGAATGTAAAGCACCTAGCCTGACACAAAATGGAACTTTGATAAACCATTCTCTAAATATCATCAAGCCCATAGCGTCCCTCCCTACAGAGACCGTGTCTGCTTAGTAGATGAGACATTTGTGGTTGTTCATTGACTCCTTTTTTTCTAGAAAGTTCTAGTCCTCTAGAGACTCATTGTAATACCTTTGTCCCTCTGAATTCTTGGTATTTAACTATACCTCCTCCTGTTATATGCACCCAGGGTAATATGCCTCTGGCACATGGTAGGCACTTAATGAATTTATGTGGAATAATTCAGCAACTTACTTTTATAGATACATACAGACTATCCCTCTTCTATGAACTCATTCTTTCTCAGTGTATCAAACTACCAATCTGCTGAGCTCATTCACAACATTTTGGTGCTTCTTAATGTTCTCAGAGAATAACTTTCACTCTAGTGCTGGCTTCTTCCATCCACTGGTAGGGGTTTGGATCAGATAAAAGGGAGAACATCCCAGGCTGGGTGCATAATGTTTGGAAAGGGTTAAGGAAGGCCAAGTGAATAGTTCTTGACTGAAACTAAGAGTACGAGATGGGAGAAAAAATCAGAGATAAGATTATATAGGGAGGGTGGAGACAGATTGTAGAGAAACTTTAAGGTCAGGCTGAAGAATTTGACTTGATACATCAGGCAGCTGGAAAAGTCAGGGGATAGTTTACACAAGTTATAGTAATTTTTAAATTTAATTTGTGTACATGAGGTTAAAGAATTGAAGTTAGGACATGGGAGTCATTACATTTATAATGAAAAAACGCATTTCCTGTCCCACCTTCCCAACCCACTGCCCAGAGGCAACCATGATCAACTCAACCTATTGATTATTTGAATGTAATTGTTTATTTCTTTCTTTCTTTCTTTCTTTTTTTTTTGAGATGAAGTCTTGCTCTGTCGCCCAGGTTGGAGTGGCAGTGGTGCAATCTCAGCTCACTGGAACCTCCGCCTCCCGGGGGTCCAGCGATTCTCCTGCCTCAGGCTCCCGGGTAGCTGGAATTACAGGCACATGCCACCATGCCTGGCTAATTGTTTTTTGTATTTTTAGTACAGACAGAGTTTCACCATGTTGACCAGGCTGGTCTCAAACTCCTGACCTCAGGTAATCCGCCCGCCTCGGCCTCCCGGAGTACTAGGATTACAGGTGTGAACCACATGCCTGGCCGAATGTATTTGTTTCTTTTTGAGAAGGGTAATTCCCAACTCTTGCTCCATTACCTTCCCATCATTTTTCCAGTGTAGTCATATCCTTGTTTTTGTTAAATAAATAGCATTTCCATCTTTATATAGTTCACAGCTAATTACATTTTTCTTGTACACTCTTTTTGGTTCTCCTAATGTTTGTTAACTTTTACTTTTTAATGATTTTTAATTTAAAGTTTTAAATGTGTTTTTCCTGGTTAATAATTGTCTTGCTTTAAATCATTTAAAAATTTTTTTCAGAGACAAGGTCTTGCTTTGTTGCCCAGGCTGGAGCGCAGTGGTACCGTCATAGCTCCCTGGAGCCTCAAACTCCTGGGCTCAAGGGACTCTCCTGCCTCAGCCTCCAAAGCAGCTAGAACTATAGATATGCACCACCACACCCAGCCAGTTTTTCTGTTTTTTTGGAGATGAGGTCTCGCTACGTTGCCAAGGCTAGTCTCAAACTCCCAGCCTCACTTTTTTATTTACTTCATTTTTTGTGTACTTACTACTAAATCAACCCTAAATGTTCCAATAAAGATGTAAACTGATCAAATACATGAAATAACCCATTAGTTTTATTCTTTTCTTGAATACTTTCTTACCAGAACCTTCTCTGCCTATTTTAACCAGGACTGACTGCTCTCTGAGCTCACCACACACCTGGGATTTTTCTTCACCAACAACTTGGAAATTTTCTTGAACTCCTTGCTGTGTGGGATTTCCTGTTTCTTGGATCTCATGTACTCATCTTTCTTGATTTGCCATGTGTGCGTTGTGGTGGGGAGGGGTGTACATCTGCCCGTAACTTGCTGAGAAAAAGCATGGGACAAATAAAATTTTTGCTGTGCAAGAGCACGGTAGAAAATGTTTTTATTTTACTTTCTTCTACAGGCTGGGATTATGATTTTAGTTTGAAAAGCACATTTCCTCTGAATTTTGAAGGCATCTCTCAATTTCTTCTGTTGAGAAAACGAATGCTGATTTTATGTTGACATAGAGCAATATGGCGTTATTCCAATTCCTGATCTTTTATGTGTGACCTGTTTTATCTTTCTAGAAAGTTTTAGAATCTTCTCTGTAAAATGAGGATAATATGAGTACCTACCTCACTGGATTAGTACCTTAATTGTGAGGATTAAACCAATTAATATATCAAAAGCCTTTAGAATGGTCTCTGACCCATGGTTAATTTTAAATGTGCTTGTTATCAGCACATTTAAATTAATCCATGGTTAATTTTAAATGTGCTCATTTTAGTAGAATTTTGGGAGAGGTGATATAAAGACTTATGTTCAACTTGTCATATGTAACAGGGATTGCAGAAGTTAACATTTTTAAGTTTTCCTCATAGCATTTTTGTGGAGGTTATTTTCTTCCAAGACTGAAAAAATAACCAAAAGATGAAATGACTTAAGGAACTATTATTCAGGGATATTGATCAGGGCAGTGACCCAGCTAATTATAATAAGTTGGTAAACACGTTAGGATATATAGAAAGAAAGCAGGATGTTACTGTCTGCTGAGGCTTAATGCTAACATTAAATCATGTTCCCCAAATATAGTGGGTTCATTTCTACAGTATACCTGTTCATAATGATTCATCTCTGTGTCCTCAGCACGTAGGCCACTATTTGATTCCTGGTAGGCAGTAGATACAAAGCACTTGGCAATGTCTCTGACAGGAAGTAAGCAGTACCTATTAGCTCTTTATATATGTAACACACATCATCTACTTAGAAACTTTGTTTTAGTTCTCTTTCAAGTGACCTTTCTCGTGACCTTAGAGAAAGAATTTGTATGCAATTGCTAATTTCCCCATATATATTCGCATTCATTATTTTCATTTGATCCTCAAAGTGTCCAAAGAATTAAACTGAGTTTTGAAGATGGCTCTAGTGCTTACTAGCTGTGAACAAGTTACCTAATTTCTTCTTATTTTTCTCAAGACATTGGGGATCACCTCATGTGAGGATTAAATTAGATCATCTATGTCAAGCACTCAATGCATATATTAGCTATTGCTAGTGAGGTAAAGTATTATTATTATTATTATTATTTAGACAGAGTCTCACTCTGTCTCCCAGGCTGGAGTGCAGTGGTGTGATCTTGGCTCACTGCAACCTCCGCCTCCAGGTTCAAGTGATTCTCCTGTCTCAGCCTGTGGAGTAGCTGGGATTACGGGCATGCACCACCACACCCAGCTACCTTTTGTATTTTTAGTTGAGACAGGGTTTCGCCATGTTGGCCAGGCTGGTCTCAAACTCCTGGCCTCAAGTGACACCCCCGCCTTGGCCTCCCAAAGTGCTGGGATTACAGATGTGAGCCACCACACCCAGCCTAGCTAAAGCATTATTATTTTACTTATTTATTTTGAGACGGAGTCTCGCTCTGTCACCCAGGCTGGAGTGCAGTGGTGTGATCTTGGTTCACTACAGCCTCCACCTCCTGGGTTCAAGCAATTCTCTGCCTCAGCCTCTCAAGTAGCTGGGACTACAGGGGCCTGCCACCACACCCAGCTAATTTTTTTGTATTTTTAGTGGAGACAGGGTTTCACCATCTTGGCCAGGCTGGTCTTGAGCTCCTGACCTCAGGTGATCCACCCGCCTTGGCCTCCCAAAGTGCTGGGATTACAGGCGTGAGCCACCGCACCCAGCCAAGCTAAAGCATTATTAACCCTCCTTGGTGATTAGACTCATCAGAACACAGAAATTAAATGACTTGTTCACATAGTTGTGCGAGTGGCTGATCTTGGCTTAAAGATTGGCACTGAATGATTCACAGTGCAAATGTTAGAGGAGTTTAATTTATGTTCTTGCTCACTGCCGTATCCCAGCACCTAAAATAGTATCTGGTAAATAACAGGCACTCATATATGTGATTAATAAATTAACATGTACAAAAAGTTTTAATCCTGGAAATGGCTTCATAGATCATTTAATGAAATGAACCAGTTTTTCAAATTGGTAAACTGAGGCCCAGATGCTTTGCTTTTAGGTGCACCGTAGGCACGTTTTGTGTTTGTTTGTTTTGTTTCTTTGCATCTTCACAGTGCTTTTTTTTGAGACGGATCTCCCACTGCCGCTGAGGCTGGAGTGTAGTGGTACAATCTCTGCTCACTGCAACCTCCACTTCCCGGGTTCAAGCAATTGCCTAGGATTACAGGCACCTGCCACCACGCTCAGCTAATTTTTTGCATTTTTAGTAGAGACAGGGTTTCACTATGTTGGCCAGGGTGGTCTCAAACTCCTGACCTTGTGATCTGCCTGCCTCGGCCTCCCAAAGTGCTGGGATTACAAGTGTCAGCCACCGCACCTGGCCCACAGTGCTTTTTAAACCACTGAAGTAATTGTCAAATTAGGTTTGGCCACATATGAATAGAAAAGCCAAATTAGTGGCTTATATAAGATGGAGGTTTATTCCTCTCCCATGTAAAAGACAAACCAAAGATAGGCAATTCAAGATGGTGGCTCCAGAGTCAGCCAGAACCTAGGCAGCCATCTTTCTGCTCCACCATTCTTGCCATATGGCTTTCACTCTCAGTACTGTCTTATGATACAAGGAGGCTGCCAGGGTTCCAGCCATCTGCATTCATTCTATCAGGAAGGAGAAAGACGGAGAGAGCAAAAGGGGACATTTCCCAGCTGAGGTGGCTGCCTTTAATTTCCCCATTTATCTTATTATCCACCCATGGTGCAAGAGAGACTGGGAAATGTATTATTTTATCCAGGAAGCTTGCTGCCCAGATTCAAAGCAGTGTTCTAAGGAAAAGGGGGAATGGCTATTGGGTAGGCCGTCTCTGTCAGAGTTGTCAACATTTTGCAAATCAGAAATTTCCAAATAGAAATCTGGATTTTTTTTAGCTTTTCTTGAAGAATCAGAAGATGGAGCTGAGGTTTGGGGCCAGAGAGAAGGAAACAAGGAGCTGGATTTTGAAGGGAGGGCTGGATGAAATGGAGAAGGCCCATGAAACAGACTGGCGAGGGAGAAGGGAGCTGATGTTCTAGGACTTGAGAAGTGATTTAGGAATTTGCATCCCTCGTTTGGTAGAAGTAGTGCTTTGAAGGCTGAGTACAGGGGCTTACAACTGTAATTCCAGCACGTTGGGAAGCCAAGGTGGGAGGATTGCTCGAGCCTAGGAGTTCGAGACCAGCCTGAGCACCACAGCAAGATCCCATCCCTACAAAAAATTTAAAAAGATTAGTGGGGTGTGGTGGTGCATACCTGTGGTCCCAGCTACTCAGGAGGCTGAGGTGAGAGGATCGCTTGAGCCCAGGAGGTGGAGGTTGCAGTGAGCCATGATTGTACCACTGCACTCCAGCCTGGACAACAAAGTGAGACCCCATCCCAAAAAACTAAAATAGTGTTTTGAGAGGATTAAACTAGTAGAGAGTATGTATAACAAGAGAAGGCACAAAGAATAGTTAGGGAACTATTAAAGAGCTCCAAGCATGAGTGAGGAGGGTCCAGACCAGCAATGTCAATAGAAATATAGTATGAGCCATGTATGTCATTCAAAAAATTTTAGTAGCCACATTTTAAAAAGGAAAACAGATGAAATTAATTTTAATAATATATTTTATTTACCCAATATAGCTGAAATATCATTTCAACATGTAATCAATATAAAAAGTCATCAATGAGATGTGTTACATTCTTTGTTTTTTTTTGTTTTAGTTTTTGTTTTGAGACAGGTTCTCACTCTGTCACCCAGGCTGGAGTGCAGTGGCACAATCTCGGCTCACTGCAACCTTCACCTCCTGGGCTCAAGGGACCCTCCCACCTCAGCTGCCTGAGTAGCTGGGATTACACAGGCATGCATCACCATGCCCAGCTAAATTTTTTTTGATATTTTTAGTAGAGATGGGGTTTCAACATGTTGGCCAGGCTGGTCTCGAACTCCTGACCTTTAGTGATCCTCCCACCTCGGCCTCCCAAAGTGCTGGGATTATAGGCATGAGCCACTGCGCCTGGCCTGATCTGTATTTAGAGTGCATAAAATTTATAGTTGAAAAAGTAGATTCACATAACCAAGTTATTCTTCACAAACTAAAAAATTTTCCAACAACTAAATCAAGTGTATGCATTTTTACATTTAAGTTAAAATGAAATTAAAAATTCAGTTCTTCAGTCATACTGACCATGTTTCAAGCACTCAATAGCCACATGTGGCCAGTGACTTCCATATTGGATAGCACGTTCCAGACAGGGAAAGAAGACAGAAATAAAGGGCCCAGTCTGAGATGTGGCTCATAAAGGATGCTCCTCAGATGGAACACTTCTGACGAAACCTGTATTATCATTGTCTTCCAAAAGCATGGAAATTCTCGCATTTCCCACATCCCTTAGATTTGCCAGATCCTTTTACACGCCTGTGCCTTTGCCTGAAATGCTTTTCCCCTTCTTTTTGCACCTGGAAAATGTCAACTTACCTTTCCAGTCTCCATTTAAATATCATCTCTGTGAAATCCACCCCAGGTCCATCAGGACAGGCTAGTTGCCCCTAACACTGTGTTCCTATTTCATGTCTCATAGATCCGTCATGTCCTTGAGGTCGAGGACTATGTCTTGATTGTCTCTGAGTCCTTGGTACATGGCATGCAGACTTATAAGAATCGTTATTGAATGAAGAAGACCTTCCGTTTAACCACACCTGGCTAATTTTTGTATTTTCAGTAGAGATGGGGTTTCACCATGTTGGCCAGGCTGGTCTCAAACTCCTAACCTCAAGTGATGCACCTGCCTCAGCCTCCCAAAATACTGGGATTACAGGCTTGTGCCATTGCGCCCAGCCTCAACACGCTTAATTGAAGATGTCATTGATTGTAAGGTGAACCATTGTTTTGTGCATCATTAAGGAAAAAACCTGTCAGTAATAATTGTGAGACCCAGCACAATGGCTCACGCCTGTAATCCCAGCACTGTGAGTGGCTGAGACAGGCAGAACGCTTGAGCCCAAGAGTTTGAGACCAGCCTGGGCAACATGGCGAAACCTCATCTCTACTAAAAATACAAAAAAAGCCAAAAAATACAAAAGCCAGCTGATAGCTTCGCTATCAGCACTTTAGTCAGCTACATTTTAAAAGGATATGCTTGGCCTCCTTAATTCAATTTTTGCTTTATTAACTTGAATATCATTGGACATGGCCCTCTAAATAGCAGACTTCGAGGCTGGCTTCTAACTTTAAGCTCCATACATAAAATTTCCGTGGTGCAGCCTTATGTAAAACATTCATCTTCTTTAGGTTCGATATCAGTGCATACTGCTGCCCTGCGTCACACATTTGAAATTAATGTGTGTGTCTTTTTGACTGTTGTCTTTTATGAGGATAGACACCAGCATACAGCAGTACTTGAATGACAACCACAAGGATTTTTCAAAATATAGGAGGTATTCATTCCAGGGTAGCTTACCTGAGCGAGGTGCTGCAAAACAGACTGACAGCCCGAACAGACGCACCTTCACTCCTCAGGTAACAAGGAACACATTCCACTAGATATTCTTAACTTGGGCACAATCAACTTCAGGGGGATGGGGCAACTGATCTCCAGTGTAGCTGAATCCACCTTGGTTACATGCTCTAGATGGGAAGAAAGGAAAGGAGGCTTAGATGATCTCAAGTGGTAGAAAGGTATTTGGCAACATCAATTAAAAGGTTAAGTGCAGATTCCCTTTGGCCCTCCAAATTCCACTTTTAGGAAGCTACTGTGTGGAATATTTGCATAAAGACATAAATTTATGAAGAAAAGAATGATCCTTGTTTTTTTTTGTTTTTGAGACGGAGTCTCGCTCTTGTCGCCCCCGCTGTAGTGCAATGGGAAGACCTTGGCTCACTGCAACCTCTGCCTCCCAGGTTCAAGCGATTCTCCTGTCTTGGCCTCCTGAGTAGCTGGGAATTACAGGCATGCAGCTCCATGCCCAGCTAATTTTTGTATTTTTAGTAGAGACGGGGTTTCACCATTTTGGACAGGCTGATCTCGAACTCCTGACTTCATGATCCACCCACCTCGGCCTCCCAAAGTGCTGGGATTACAGGCGTGAGCCACTGCACCCAGCCTATTTCAAGTTTTCAAAATAACAACCAAGAATACAAAGGTCAGCCGGGCCCGGTGGCTCACGCCTGTAATCCCAGCACTTTGGGAGGCCGAGGTGGGTGGATCACGAGGTCAGGAGTTCAAGATCAGCCTGGCCAAAATGGTCAGGCCAACATTCCAACCAATGTTTTGTAAAAGCAATGGCAGGTAAGTGGCCTCCTCTCTAGAGCTGAAGCTTTTTGCGCTTGCTTTGGTGTCATGCCCACGCAGCTAACTCGTTTCCTCAGATTCTATTCCATTCCATTTCTTTCTTTTCTTTTCTTTCTCTTTCTCTTTCTTTCTTCCTTCCTTCCTTTCTTCTTCTTTTTTTTTCTTTTTTTTTTTGAGACAGAATTTCTCTCTTGTTACCCAGGCTGGAGTGCAATGGTGTCATCTCTGCTTACTGCAATCTCCACCTCCCGGGTTCAAGCAATTCTCCTGCCTCAGCATCCAGAGTAGCTGGGACTACAGGCATGTGCCACCACGCCCATCTAATTTTGTATTTTTAGTAGAGACGGGGTTTCACCATGTTGGTCAGGCTGGTCTCGAACTCCTGACCTCAAATGATCTGCCTGCCCCAGCCTCCCAAACTGTTGGGATTGCCGGTGTGAGACATCGCTCCCGGCCCTCAGATTCCATTTCTATGCTTTCTCTCTGGTTCACATTCAAAAGTCCTGAAGATAAAGGATCTGATTAGGTCAGTTCATCACCATTCAATATGGATTACTCCTGCTGTGTGGGGAGATGCGTGTACCAGGCCACCTCATGGACGGAGGTCTGCTTTTATAGCCCACTGGCTTTGGTGGAGCTGTTTCAGAGTACAGTCTGGTGTGGCCAAGGTTACAGCATTATATGATGCAAAGTAAGGTGACAGGCGCGAAGCATGCTCATGTCTTAGAAGGAAAATATGGGCAAGGCATATACGTAGCACTCCATGGACCATCCACTCTCCTCGGTTTCATTTATTTATTTATTTATTTTTCACTTTGGGATGGAGTGTCACTCTGTCGCCAAGGCTGGAGTGCAGTGGTGCAATCTTGGCTCACTGCAACCTCCGCTTCCTGCGTTCCAGCGATTCTCCTGGCTCAGTCTCCTTAGTAGCTGGGATTACAGGCACTTACCACCACTAATTTTTATACTTTTAGTAGAGACGGGGTTTCACCATGTTGGCCAGGCTGGTCTCGAACTGCAGACCTCAAGGGATCCACCTGCCCCGGCCTCCCAAACTGCTGGGATTAGAGGCACAAGCCACTGTGCCTGGCCTCTCTTTGGTTTTATACACCTAAAGAGAAAGAGGGAAAGCAGGATAAACATTCACCTGCAGTCACTAAGAAATCCAGACAAGAACTTCCTTTAAAGATGTCCTTGTCAGTGGAGAGGAAGTTCATCTTCACATTTTCCAGGTGGATCAGTTGGTGTTCCCCAGACCACCAGGTTTGCACTTGTGCATGCTCGAGGACAACAGAGAAGGTTCTAGAAGCAGCTTTTCTGCACTACTTGGAGCTTTCTTTTCGTTTAAAGATGAATTGTTTGGTTGGATGCAGTGCTCATGCTTGTAATCCCAGCACTTTACTCCTAAAGTGGGAGTAAGTGGGAGGATCTCTTGAGCCCAGGAGTTCAAGACCAGCATGGGCAACATAGGAAAACCCTGTCTCTACAAAAACATAAAAATAGAAATAAAATGATTAATTGAGGTCAGGCATGGTGGCTGATGCCTGTAATCCCAGCACTTTGGGAGGCCGAGGTGGGCAGATCACTTGAGGTCAGGAGTTTGAGATCAGCCTGGCCAACATGGTGAAACCCTGTGTCTACTAAAAGTACAAAAATTAGCTGGGTGTTGTGGTGCATGCCTGTAACCTCAGCTACTTGGGAAGCTGAGGCAGGAGAATTGCTTGAACCTGGGAGGCAGAGGTTGCAGTGAGCCGAGATCACGCCACTACAGTCCAGCCTGGGTGACAGAGTGAGATTCTGTCTCAAAAAAAAAAAAAAAAAAAGATTAGTTGCTGGATGAAAGGTAAGCAAAAACAAGCAAAACAAAATAAAAAACAGTGGTATTGCTTTTGCTTTTAAGACGATGACAAAGGTCATCGTATTTACAGGAATGAAACTGTGGCGAGCTGGGTGCAGTGGCTCACTCCTGTAATCCCAGCACTTTGGGAGGCTGAGGCAGACGGATCACCTGAGGTCAGGAGTTCAAGACCAGCTGTGCCAACATGGTGAAACTTCGTCTCTACTAAAAACACAAAAATTAGCTGGGTGTGGTGGCAGGTGCCTGTAATCCCAGCTACTCGGGAGGCTGAGGCAGGAGAATCGCTGGAACCCGGAAGCTGGAGGTTGCAGTGAACCGAGATCACACCACTGCGCTCCAGCCTGGGCGACAGAGCGAGACTCCATCTCAAAAAAAAAAAAAAAAAAAAAGAAAAGAAAAGAAAAGAAAAGAAAAAAGAAAATGCGGCCAAAATTTTTATAGAATCTGGGATTCCTGTGATGCTGTGTTCTTGAACTGTTTCAGAGCCTAGTCTGGGCACCTATTTTTAAACTTTAAAAGGCAGGTCATCGAAGCCCTTCAGAAGGAGGGAAAGGAAGCCAGAGAATAGGTGTATCCAAAAGTGCTGTAGGAGGAACAGGCCTTTCGCTATGTTTAATTCAAAAGCAGATATCTTCAAGCCTCTAGGAATATCGTCTATTGTCATTGCTGGCAAAATGTCCATCTGTCTCTGAAAACCTCCATAAGATGTATGTGTATTTGCAACAATTCCAAGCAAGGTAAGGCCCTTATTTCCTGTGGAAAGTAGTACCAATATGGAAGGCAGCCTGTGACATGGTTTCTTTTTCTTTCCTTCTTTTTTTTGAGTCAGAGTCTCACCCTGTCACCAGGCTGGAGTGCAGTGGCATGGTCTCGGCTCACTGCAACCTCTGCCTCCCGGGTTCAAGCGATTCTCCTGCCTCAGCCTCCTGAGTAGCTGGGACTACAAACGCACGCCACCACACCTGGCTAATTTTTTTTTTTCTTTTTGTTTTTGAGATGGAATCTGGCTCTGTCGCCCAGGCTGGAGTGCAGTGGCGCAATCTTGGCTCACTGCAAGCTTCGCCTCCAGGGTTCAAGTGATTCTCCTGTCTTAGCCTCCTGAATAGCTGGGATTACAGGCACCTGCCATCGCGCCTGGCTAATTTTTGTACTTTTAGTAGAAACGGGGGTTTCACCATCTTGGCCAGGTTGGTCTTGAACTCCTGACCTCATGATCCACCCGCCTCGGCCGCCCAAAGTGCTGGGATTACAGGCATGAGCCACCGCGCCTGGACGACATCGTTTATTTTTCTATGCCTCAAAGCAAGCTGACCAATTTGCCAATGTATGTTGCTTAAGTTGTTGGGTCACTGAAGTGTTCTTACTATACAAAGTCAGTCCCAGATCTTTCAATTTCGGTGTACCCCTCACAGTGTCTAATATGATGCTATGTACTAGGATTTCAATTTACATGAAACAAATTGGGATTGAATATCTATCTTGTGCCAAGCACAGTGGTAAGCACTGAAATAGCAAAGTAAGTTAGATATATTCCCTAACCTAAAGTTACTCATATCTACCAGAGAAAGCAGCCCCAATAACAACCAACTATGATGTAGTACAAGGTGTGCTTGTTAGAGATATTCACAGCCTGCCACCTTCACCCAGTTAAGGGAGGGATGACCTTGTTTCACCTATTCTAAGATGTACATTATTGTCTCTGAAGTCCAGATGCATCTTACAATAGATGGTGTCTCACAATTATTATTATTATTATTATTAATTTTGAGACAGGGTCTCACTGTCACCCAGGCTGGAGTGCAGTGGCACGATTTCGGCCCACTGCAACCTCTGCCTCCAGGACTCAGGCAATCCTCTCACCTCAGCCTCCCAAGTAGCTGGGACTACAGGTGCATGCCACCATGCTCAGCTGATTTTTTTGTATTTTTAGTAGAGATGAGGTTTCGCCATGTTGCCCAGGCTGGTCTCAAACTCTTGGGCTCAAGCGTTCTGCCTGTCTCAGCCACTCACAGTGCTGGGATTACAGGCGTGAGCCATTGTGCCGGGTCTCACAATTATTATTGACAGGTTTTTTCCTTAATGATGCACAAAACAATGGTTCACCCCACAATCAATGACATCTTCAATTAAGCATGTTGAGGCTGGGCGCAATGGCACACGCCTGTAATCCCAGCATTTTGGGAGGCTGAGGCAGGTGCATCACTTGAGGTTAGGAGTTTGAGACCAGCATGGCCAACATGGTGAAACCCCATCTCTACTGAAAATACAAAAATTAGCCAGGTGTGGTGGTGCACACTTTGGCCTCCCGAAGTGCTGGGATCACAGGCATGAGCCACCATGCCCAGCCCACTTTTCTAGCTTTCTGGCTAGTGATACGCCTGCTCTGCCTCAACCCTCCTTCCCCCAAAAATCTTTAGCAAAAAGGAATTCCTGAATGCTTTAAAATCTTGTAGATTTTCTCATACTGCCCTCTTAACCTGAAAAGGCTTTTTCCTTGCATAATATAATAACTAACACTTGTGCAATGCATTGCAACTCACAAAGGGAGGCTTTCTTATAAACGCTCATTTTAGAGGCTTCATGTCAGCAGTTAAGAGCTGTAGCCACACCCCTGGGTTTTAATTTACCACTTACTTGCTATGTAACCAAGGGCAATTAATTCAACTTCTACAGGTTCCTCACCTTTAAAATGGGGATAATAATAGTATCTTATTTCCCAAGCTTGTTGTGAAGTTTAAATGAGTTAATACATTGCCAGACGTGCAGTTTACATGAAATAAGTGTTCATTGTTATTTGTCTTTGCAGCACGCTCACTGTTAAGCAGCAAACAGTCCAAAGTCTCTGAATTTAGGGTTTAGGTTCTGGGCTTATAAGAGATGGATTCCACCATAGCACATTGCTTTTCTATCCAGCAAGAATCCTACTCATTCTTCAGAGACCCAAGCTCAAGAATCACTTTCTCTATGAGTCTCTCTTCACCTGTGTGTGACCCTGCTACAAAATCAACAATCAACAATCAACAACATGTTTTTTTTTTTTTTTTGAGACAGTCCTACTCTGTCTCCCAGGCTGAAGTGCATTGGTGTGATCTCGGCTCACTGCAACCTCCGCCTCCCAGGCTCAAGCAATTCTCCTGCCTCAGCCTCCTGTGTAGCTGTGATTACAGGGGACAGAGGTTGTGGTCAGCTGAAATTATGCCACTGCACTCCGGCCTGGGTAACAGAGTGAGACTCTGTCTCAAAAAAAAAAAAAAAAAGAACTTAAGATAGAACCACCATTCAACCCAGCAATCCCATTACTGGGTATATATCCAAAAGAAAATAAATTGTCCTACCATAAAGACACCTGCACTCACATGTTAATTGCAGAACTTTTCCCAATAGCAAAGACACAAAATCAACCTGATGGGCATCAGAGGCAGATTGGTTAAAGAAAATGTGGTATATATACACCATGGACTACTACGCAGCCATAAAAAAAGAACGAAATCATGTCTTTTGCAGCAACATAGATGCAGCTGGAGGCCATTAGTTCCTAGGCAAATTAATGCAGGAATAGAAATCCAAAAACCACATGTTCTCACTTATAAGTGGGAGCTAAATGTTGGGTACATATGGACATAAAGATGGCAACACTAGACACTGAGGACCACTAGAATTGGGAGGGATGGAGGGATTGGAGGGATTGGGAGGGATGGAGGGATTGGGAGGGATGGAGGGATTGGGAGGGATGGAGGGATTGGGAGGGATGGAGGGATTGTGAGGGATGGAGGGATTGGGAGGGATGGAGGGATTGGGAGGGATGGAGGGATTGTGGGGGATGGAGGGATTGTGGGGGATGGAGGGATGGAGGGATTGGGGCAAGGGTTAGAAAACCACCTATAGGGAACTATGCTCAGTACCCAAGTGACAAGATCAGTCATACCCCAAACCTCAGCATCACACAATATGCCCAGGTAAAAAACTTACACATGTACCCCTGAAGCTAAAATAAATGTTGAAATTATAATCAAATCAAATAAAATGTCTTTCAAATATAAATCCCCTATTCTTCATCCTTACCACTGCAGCCCTCCACTGCCTGGCCTGCACTAAAGAGCCAGCTTCCCACTGGTCACCCTACCTTTCGTCCTGCCCACTTGAATCCAGCTTCTCCACTGCCTCCTATCATCTTTCTGAATCACAGGTGTGATTGAGTCACTCCCCAGTTCTAGAATCTATAGATGTTGTCTATAATCTATAGATAACATTTGAAATTCAATATGAGATATACAGCATTTTGCAATCTGGCATTAACCGAATTTTCTAGCTTTCTTTTTTTCTATTTTCTTTCTTTTTTTTTTTGATATGGAGTCTCACTCTGTCACCCAGGCTGGCGTGCAGTGGTGCAATCTCAGCTCACTGCAACCTCCGCCTCCCAGGTTCAAACGATTCTCCTGCCTCAGCCTCCCGAGTAGCTGGGATTACAGGCATGCGCCACCACACCCAGCTAATTTTTGTATTTTCAGTAGAGAGGGGTTTCACCATGTTGGCCAGGCTGGTCTCGAACTCCTTACCTCAGGTGATCCTCCCACCTCGGCCTCCCACATTGCTGGGATTACAGGCATGAGCCACCACACCTGGCCAATCTTGTTAAAATCTTTGAGCTATCTCCAAACTGCTTTCCACAGTGGCTGAACTAATTTACATTCCCACCAACAGTGTAGAAGTGTTCCTTTTTCTTTGCAGCCTTGCCAGTATCTGTTTGTTGTTGTTGTTGATGTTTTTACTTTTTAATAATAGCCATTCTGGGCTGGCATGGTGGCTCATGCTTGTAATCCCAGCACTTCGGGAGGCCAAGGCAGGCAGATCACGAGGTCAAGAGATCGAGACCATCCTGGCCAACATGGTGAAACCCTATCTCTACTAAAAATACAAAAATTAGCTGGGCATGGTGGCGCGCACCTATAGTCCCAGCTATTCAGGACGCTGAGGCAGGAGAATCACTTGAACAGGGAGGCGGAGGTTTCAGTGAGCCAAGATTGCACCACTGCACTCCAGCCTGGTGACAGAGCAAGACTCCGTCTCAAAAAACAAAACAAAACAATAATAATAATAGTAATAGCCATTCTGACTGGTATAGGAGGGTATTTCATTATGGTTTTGATTTGCATTTCCCTGATGATGGTGAGCATTTTTTCCATATATTTGTTGGTTGCTTGTATGTGAAAGACATTTTAGATAGAAATCCAAGCCAACTTAGATGAAAGCAAAAGTACCTCTCCTCCAACAGCTCATGTGAGGCATAGAAACGTATCATCAGAGGGCAGGTCAACCACATAGTACTGGAGTCCAGGGCAGGGATCTGACATCCATGTACTGCCAGGTAAACTTGCCTTGTTCATCATGACATTCTCATAGATATTTTTATTTTATTTTATTTTATTTATTTATTTATTATTATTATTATTGAGACTGAGTCTTGCTATGTCGCCAGGCTGGAGTGCAGTGGCACAATCTCGGCTCACTGCAATCTCCGCCTCCCGGGTTCAAGCAATTCTCCTGCCTCAGCCTCCTGAGTAGTTGGGATTACAGGCACGTACGTACCACCACGTCCAGCTAATTTTTGTATTTTTAGTAGAGATGGGGTTTCACCATGTTGGCCAGGATGGCCTCGATCTCCTGACCTCGTGATCTGCCCGCCTCGGCCTCCCAAAGTGCTGGGATTACAGGCGTGAGCCACTGTGCGTGGCCAGATTGTTGTTGTTTTTATCAGATATGCAGAGCAATGATCCAGTCATGACCAGATATTGCCTCCTGTGTTTTGCATGCTAACTAGAGTGGTCATGATGGTCTTGTGCCTAGTAAATGACCTGGAAGTTATAGAGTGGAATGGCCTATACTGGTGGCCAAGACCTCTTTCCAGGGGAGTCCGATAATAGGTTCCACTGATAGTCAATAGCAATCGAGTGTCCACTGCGCCAGAACACTCAGGAACAGTCTAAGAGTAAGGAAGACAGTAAGCTCCTTAGTCAGATGGGATGTCAGAATCCAAATACCTAGAAAAGTACCTTAAATAGCATATCAAACGATTAAATGAAAAATGAATAATGTGGTATAAAGCAAGCATAGAAAATATAGTATGCACTCTGGTTGTCTTAAGCTGGATGGAAGCCGAGTGGTCTTTGTGGAAGCACCGGATATCCCAGGGAGGTTGGTGCAGGGGTAGATTTGGGCTAAAGCAGATCCCTTTTTTTTTTTAACTTATTTTTTATTTTGGAGATAGGAGTCTTGCTGTGTTGCCCAGGCTGGTCTCGAACTCCTGGCCTCTGCCTGAGCCTCCCAAGTAGCTGGGATCACAGACTCAAGCCACCGCACCTGGCCTAAAGCGGATTCCTGACAGTCATCTTAAGGTCTGGTCCAATCCTCATATTCCAAATACCCGTGGCCAAAAAGGTGGGGGTGGGGAGAGGGGAAGAAAATCTCTCTAGAAATGTGTGAATTTGGGAGTACAGTATTTACTGTCCTATGACAGTATTCATTAAATTCCATTGTAGGCTGGGCGCGGTGGCTCACGCCTGTAATCCCAACACTTTGGGAGGCCGAGGCAGGTGGATCACCTGAGGTCAGGAGTTTGAGACCAGCCTGGCCAACATGGCGAAACCCCCACTCTGCTAAAAATACAAAAAAACGAGCCGGGCTTAGTAGCGGGCGCCTGTAGTCCCAGCCACTTGGCAGGCTGAGGCAGAAGAATGGTGTGAACCCGGGAGGCGGAGGTTGCAATGAGTCGAGATTGCACGACTGCACTCCAGCCTGGGTGACAGAGTGAGACTCCATCTCAAAAAAACCCAAAAGTAATAAATAAATAAATAAATAAATAAATAAATAAATAAATAAAATTCCATTCTATCACCCTGGCAGCCACAGCTGGCCCCTCATTAAAACTAGAAAGCCTTTCCTCCACCTCCCCCTTGGGGCAGTAGGATGGTGCCATTCTCTACCACTCTGAACAGGTTCCTGTCCTGGGGTTGCCCCCGTGGGTCCCAAGGGAGCTTCTAGGGACGCCTGCTCTGTGACGCCCTATGCAACAGCAGCTGAAGGGCGCCAGTCAGGCATGGCGGGAGCTGGGCAGGAAGGGGATTGACTCCAGGTCATCTGGGCAAACTCCCGGGAAGGGGACTGACCTGTCAATCACCCAGAGAGCTGGGGTAGGCAGGTTCCCCTCTCCCCACACATTTCAAGCAGTTCTAAGCACCTCCCCAAACTGCCAGAGCAGAGGAGAGGGAAAGTGGGGTTTTCTGGGAAACTCAGTCGGCCCAGACAAAGTGCTGCCTGATAGGGATAGAATGCAAGTCACATACGTAATGAAACCAATATTGGCAGTGACATTATAAAAAGTTAAAAGAAAGAGATGAAAATATTATCATTTCAACATATAGCTGACCAGGCGTGGAGGTGTACGCCTGAAATCCCAGCACTTTGGGAGGGCAAGGGGGCAGATCATTTGAGGCCAGGAGTTCAAGACCATCCTGGCCAACATGGAGAGACCCTGTCTCTACAAAAAATACAAAAATAAGCTGGGCATGGTGGTGTGCGCCTATAGTTCCAGCTACTTGCGAGGCTGAGGTGGGAGGAAGGCTTGAGTCGGGAAGGCAGAGGCTGCAGTGAGCTGTGATCGTGCCATTGTGTTCCATCCTTGGTGACAGAATGAGATCCTGTCTCAAAACACACACACACACACACACAGACACACACATATGTCGCCAATATAAAAAATTATTAATGAGGCATTTTACTTATTTCTTTTGTACTAATCTTCAAGATCCAGTGTGTATTCTACGCTTACATCTCAATTTCGAATAGCTAAATGTTAAGTGTTCAACAGCCGTGTGTAGACGTTGGACGACGCAGGCCTACAGGCCTGCGCCTGGTGCAGCCAAATGAAACAACCAAAAGACTTTCACTTCTGCACTGGGGATGTACCTGCATCTCTCTCCTGTAATTCCCCTCCACTCAGTAGTCATCAAATTCTAAAATCTGGCTGGGCACGGTGGCTCACGCCTGTAATCCCAGCTACTCGGGAGGATGAGGCAGGAGAATTGCTTGAACCTGGGAGGCGGAGGTTTTGGTGAGCTGAGATCGTGCCATTGCATTCCAGCCTGGGCAACAAGAGCAAAACTCTGTCTCAAAAAAAAAAAAAATCTAAAATCTTTCCTGGCCGGGTACGGTGGCTCACTCCTGTAATCCCAGCACTTTGGGAGGCCGAGGTGGGTACATCACCTGAAGTCAGGAGTTTGAGACCAGCCTAGCCAACATGGTGAAACCCTGTTGGGGTTAAAATTCTAAAAATACAAAAATACAAAATAAAAATACAAAAATTAAGGCTGGGTGCGTTGGCTCACGCCTGTAATCCCAGCACTTTGGGAGGCTGAGGCGGGCAGATCATGAGGTCAGGAGATCGAGACCATCCTGGCTAACACTGTGAAACCCCATCTCTCCTAAAAACAAATACAAAAAATTAGCTGGGCGTGGTGGCAGACACCTGTAGTCCCAGCTACTAGGGAGGCTGAGGCAGGAGAATTGCTTGAACCCGGGAGGTGGAGGTTGCAGTGTGCCAAGATCGCGCCACTGCACTCCAGCCTGGGAGACAGAGTGAGACTCGTCTCAAAAAAAAAAAAAAAATTAGTGGTGGTGGGCACCCTTAATCCCAGCTATTCAGGAGGCTGAGGCAGCAGAAGCACTTGAATTGGGGAGGTGGAGGTTGCAGTGAGCTGAGATCACACCACTGCACTCCAACTTGAGTGACAGAGTCAGAATTTGTCTCGAAAAAAAAATTTCCTAAACTGACAGATAAATGTTTCTCCATTTTCAGATTTGTGATATCAGGGCCCTCCAGTGCAGGGTTCAGCGCAGGCCCCCTTGCTCTGGTCTAAGGATGGTGTTGGAGGTGGTAACATTATTTCAACTCTGGATCAAGCCAAGCTCAAATCCAGTTCCTCAGAACATTGCCATTATGCGCATCCTCTTTTCCCCTTGAGGCAGTTTATGAAGGGTTTTCTGCCAAGTGTAAGTAAAAGAGTCTCAACTGATGTAGGGGCCTAATATTTCCTTTCAAGGATCTGGGTAATCACAGAGGCCCCCTCCTCCGGCCCCCAAATTTCTCTGCTGTTGGTGCTATGCAAACAAGTTTCTTTTGAATTATGAATGATCCTATTCGTGTTTCTAATTGTATATATATGGGGTACTTGCAAGTCTGTTCAGCCTTTTAAGCAAATGTGTATGTTACTGACATTCTGATTTCCACGGAATTCTCCATTTATTCCAAATGGACATCAAGTCCATAAAACAATTCCTCTGGAGCATCAGTAAAGAACAAAATAGCAGGAATATGAAAATTTCTGAACAGAAAAGTTGTATTCCTGTTTTTTTTTTTTTTTTTTTTTTGCTGTTGTTAATGGGATGTTTCTATGCATGAACAATGAACAGTCAGGAAAAGAAATTAAGAAAACAATTCCATTTAGGATGGCACCAAAAAGAATAAAATAGGAATTGGCCGGGCGTGGTGGCTCACACCTGTAATCCCAGCACTTTGGGATGCCAAGGCAGGCAGATCACCTGAGGTCAGGAGTTCGAGACCAGTGTGACCAACATGGTGAAACCCCTTCTATATAAAAATTAGCCAGGCGTGGTGGCACATGCCTGTAATCCAAGCTACTAGGGAGGCTGAGGCAGGTGAATTGCTTGAACCCAGGAGGCAGAGGTTGCAGTGAGCCGAGATCGCCCCACTGCACTCCAGCCTGGGCAACAAGAGCAAAACTCCTTCTAAAAATAAATAAATAAATACTTAGGAATTTACCTAACCAAGGAGGTGAATGACTTGTACACTAAAAAGTATAAAACACTGTTGAAGGAAATCAAAGAAGACACAAATAAATAGAAAGACATTCTGCGTTCATGAATTGGAAGATTTAATATTGTTAAGATGTCAATACTACACAAAGCCATTTGCAGATTTAATACAATCCCTATCAAAATATCAATGGTGTTTGTGGCAGAAATAGAAAAATAGATCCTAAAATTCATATGGAATCTCAAGAGACCCCAAAGAGCCAAAACAATTTTGAAAAAGAACAAATTTGTAAGACGAAAGCATCCTGATTTCAAAATACATTACGAATCTACAGTAATTCAAACAGTGTGCTATTGGTATAGAGAGAAACATATGGACCAATGGAGTAGCACAGAGAGCCCAGAGATAAATTCTTGCATAGCCAAATATTCTTCAACAAGGGGGCCAAGACCACTTGATGAGGAAAGGACAGTTTGTTCAACAAATGGTGCTAGAAAAACTGGATGTCCACATGTAAAAGAATGAAGTTAGACCCTTATTTTATACCACATTACATTAGTTAAAAATTAACCTCAAACTCTAAAATACCTTCAAGAAAACATAGGATAAAAACGTTATGGCATTGAATTTCCCATATACAATAATTTCTCATATACAACACCAAAAGTACAGTTAAAAAAAATATGGATGTGAGGGTGATCTGGCTGTGGCACCTGTCACCCCATTGATTGCCAGGGTTGATTTGGCTGACCTGGCTGACTAGGCACGTGTCCCCTTCCTCCCTCGCCTCCCGAAGCTGTGCGCTTGGTTTAAGAGGACAACCATCCCAGATAGAGGAGGACTGGTCTCCGGTCAAGGGTATAAGAGTAGCTGCACTCCCCGGCTAGAACCTTCAAACAAGCTCTCAAGGTCCATTTGTAGGAGAATGTAGGGTAGTTAAGCTTCCAAGACTCCAGACACATCCAAATGAGGTGCTGCATGTGGCACTCTGCCTTTCTTAAAAAAGGAAGAAAGAAAGAAAAAGAAAGAAAAAGAAAGAAAGAAAGAAAGAAAGAAAGAAAGAAAGAAAGAAAGAAAGACAAATGAGACTACCTCAAACTTAAAAACTTGTGTGCATCGAAAGACACAATCAACAGAGTAAAAAGGCAACCTACAAAATGGAAGAAAACGTTTGTAAATCATATATTTGGTAAGAGGTTAACATCCAAAATATTCACAATTATTTAATATATAAGTAATTTCTACAACTCAACAACAAAATATCAAATAATCCTATTTAAAAATGGGCAAAAACCTAGGCACAGTGGTGCACGCCTGTAGTCAAAAGCTACTCAAGAGGTTGAATTGGGAGGATCACTTAAGTCCAGGAATTCAAGGTGAGCCTGAGGAATATTGCAAGACCCTGTCTCTGTAAAAAAAAAGATAAATAAAATAAAAATAATAAAAAGTTTAATGAAAAAAAGAAAAAAAACTATAAAAAATGGGCAAGGGAGTTATATAGACATTTTTCCAAAGATGACATACACGTGGCCAACAGGTACATGAAAAGATACCCAACATCACTGATCATTAGAAAAATACAAATCAAAACCTCAATGAGATACCACCTAACACCCATTAGGATAGCTACTATTCCCCCCAATCCCCCACCCAAAAAAACCCCAGAAGATGGCAAATGTTGGTGGGGATGTGGAGGCATTGGAAACCCTGTGAATGGCTGGCGGGATAGCAAAATGGTGTGATTACCATGAAAAACAGCATGATGGTTTCTCACAAATTTAAAAATACCGTTACCATATGACCCAGCAACCTCACTTCTGAGTACATATCCAAAAGAAATAAAAGAAGGCTCTCGAAGAGATATTTGCAAACCAATGTTCATGACAGCATTATCCACAATAGCCAAGAGGTGGAAGCAACCCAAATATCCATCAATGAATGAATAGATAAACAAAATTTGGTATATATACATGATGGAATACTATGCAGCCTCAAAAAGGAAGAAAATCCTGTCACAAGCTATAACATAGATGAACCTTGAGGACAAATACTGTAGATTCCACCTACATGAGGTTTCTGGAGGAGTCAAACTCATAGAAACAGAAAGTGGAAGGAATGATGGTTACCTGGAGCTATGGGGAAGGGAAAAGGAGAGCTGTTGGTTAATGGGTATTGAGTTTCAGTTCTGCAAGGTGAAAGAGTTCTGGAGGTCTGTTTCACAACAAGAGTGAAACTCCGTCTCAAAAAAAAAAACATGGTTAAGATTTTAAAAATAGTCCAGTGAAACATACAATGATCCTTTCTGTTATCCATCACCCAGCTCCCAAAATCAACAGTTCAAGGTCACGATCTGAGATTACTTTAGGCAAAATCTGTGTAGAGGTAGGGATAGACTGATGACTTTTTTCATTCATTATCCTTCTGCTGGTAACTTAACCTCGAATCCTAATCTTTTTGTAACCTAATTTCTTTGTTCTTCTTTTTTGTTTCTTTTTAGACAGAGTCTTGCTCTGTCACCCAGGTTGGAGTGCAGTGGCCTGATCTCGGCTCACTGCAACCTCTGCCTCCTGGGTTCAAGAGATTCTCATGCCTCAGCCTCCTGAGTAGCTGGGATTACAGGTGCCCACCACCACGCCCGGCTAATTTTTTTGTATTTTTAGTAGAGACGGGGTTTCACCCTGTTGGCCAGGCTGGTCATGAACTCTTGACCTTGTGGTCACCTGCCTTGGCCTCCCAATGCATTGGGATTACAGGCATGAGCCACCACGCCTGGCCACAACTCACCCGGCTAATTTTTGTATTTTTATTTTATTTTATTTTATTTTTTGAGACAGAGTCTTGCTCTGTCACCCAGGCTGGAGTGCAGTGGCATGATCTCAGCTCACTGCAACCTCCACCTCCCAGGTTCAGGAGATTCTCATGCCTCAGCCTCCTGAGTAGCTGGTATTACAGGTGCCCGCCACCACGCTTGGCCAATTTTGGTATTTTTAGTAGAGACCGGGTCTCACCATGCTGGCCAGGCTGGTCTCAAACTCCTGACCTCAGGTGATCCACCTGCCTTGGCCTCCCGAAGTGCTGGGATTACAGGATTACAGGCCTGGCCCCTTTTTGTAACCTAATTTGTGAAGTGACATCATACTCAAGGGAAGGGAGTTACATAAGGGTGGGAATCTCAGCAGGAGAAGATCACTGAGGGCCACCCCAGAGGTTGCCCACCACACTATGGGACTATTATTTGAAAGCTGTAGCTTTAGCACTTACGCTTAGCATGTTTTTACCATAACTTTTATTAGGTGCTTTGAATAACCATTTCATGAGGTATTGGTCTTTCCATTTTACAGCTGACTGTATTATGTAATGTGTTCAAGTTCACAGAACAATAATCATAATTAGAACTCATACATCTCAGACTACTGTTTTTTATTTTGCAGGGTATATTTTTATTACTATTACATGAAAATCATATTATTTAACATCAAAGTGTTCTATGGCACTATATCAATAATGGGTTTTGGAGAAATTTTCTTTTTGGATTGTTACTTGTAAACGTACTCTTCTTTGTATGTCACAATTGGTATGTTTGAATCAGAATGTACATATTACATTTGGGTGTTACAATATCTCAAGTTTCTTTTGATTTTGAGTCCTCTTCTTCCAACGCATCTAAAATTTTTTTTATTTTTAATTTTTGTGGGTACATATTAGGTATATACATTCATGGTGCCCTACTTATTTAAAACATGTCATTGACTTATAGAAGATACTTGTTTAATTGATGTATAAAATATCTCACATCCTGGATTTGCTTGTTTGCTCCCTCCTGGTGTCATTTAACTTTACATTCCCCAGCATTTTCTGTAAATGAAAGCTTTGGAAGCTTGAGTAGATTCAGGTTCAATTTCTTTGGCAAGAATAGTTCGTAGGTCATATAGACATTAGTACAGAACTCCCTACAAAATGCAAGCAATGTTGGATTATTCCAGGAAGCATTTGGAATCTCTCTCAAAAACTCACAATAATAGGGAATAAAAATAGCCCTAGTGTCCAGCCACTAGCTTCAACTTTTCTCTCCTCCTTGCTAATGTTAGCCAGCATTGATTACCTATTTTTGTCATTGTCCAAGCAGATATCATAAGCCAAGAACCTCGCTGAATATACAATGTGCACTGAAGAACAAGTAGATATATATCTTTCTTGTTTTTTATCACAAGCGACAGAAACAAACTGTGCCTAACATTAAAAGTACTGTATTAAAAGGTTGTAAGATGGATTTATGCTTTCACCACCCGTATTCAACATAGTACTGGAAATCCTAGCAAGAGAAATCAGGCAAGAGAAAGGAATAAAAGGCATCCAAATGGGAAAAGAAGGAGTCAAATTGTCCCTCTTTGCAGATGACATGCTTATATTTAGAAAAATCTCTATGGTGTCAGACTCCTTATACAAAGAAAAAAAAAATAGAAAAACCTAGACTCTACCACAAAACTCTTAGAACTAATAGACAAATTAAGTAAAGTATCAGGATGCAAAATCAACATACAAAAATCAGTAGTGTTTCTATATACCAATGAAGAACTGGCTGAAATATAAATCAAGAAGGCAATCCCACGTACAATAACTATGCACACACAAAAACTCTGCACACAAATTTAACCAAGAAGGTGAAAGCTCTCTACAGGGAAAACTACAAAGCACTGATGAAAGAAATTGTCGAGGACACAAACAAAAGGAAAGACACCCTATGCTCACGGATTGGAAGAATTAGAATTGTTAAAATGGCCATACTACCCAAAGCAATCTACAGATTAATGAATCTACCAAAATACCAGTGACATTCTTCATAGAAAGAAAAACAACCCTAAAATTCACATGAAACCAAAAAGGAGCCTGAATAGCCAAAGCAATCTTGAGCAAAAAGAACAAAGCTGGAGGCATTTTTCCATCTGACTTCTGAACATATTACAAGGCTACAATAACCCAAACAGCACTGTACTGGTATAAAAATAGACACATAGACCAGTGGAACAGAATAGAGAACCCAGAAATAAATCCACATATTTATAGCCAACTGATTTATGACAAAGGTGCCAATAACATACACTGAGGAAAGGACACCCTCTTCAATAAATGGTGCTGGGAAAACTGGACTGTCATAGGCGAAAGAATGAAAGTAGACCTCTGTCTCTCACCATATACAACAATCAACTCAAGATGGATTAAAGACTTAAATGTAAGGCCCCAAACTGTAGAACTACTAGAAGGAAACACTCCAGGACATTGGTCTAGGCAAATATTTTATGGCTAAGACCTCAAAAACAGAGGCAACTAAAACAAATAGACAAATGGGACTATATTAAATTAAAAGGCTTCTGCACAGCACAGAAAATCAACAGAATGAAGAGATAACCTGTTGAATGGGAGAAAATATTTACAAACTATTCATCTGACAAGAGAATAATATGCAGAATATACAAGAAACTCAACTCAGCAGTGAAAAATCTGGCCGGGTGCGGTGGTGCACACCTGTAATCCCAGCATTTTGGGAGGCCAAGGCGGGCGGATCACCTGAGGTTAAGAGTTTGAGACCAGCCTGGCCAACATGGTGAAACCCCATTTCTACTAAAAATACAAAAATTAGCCTGGCATGGTGGCATGCACCCGTAATCCCAGCCACTCAGGAGGTTGAGGCACAAGAATCGCTTGAACTCAGGAGTCAGAGGTTGCAGCGAGCTGAGATCGTGCCACTGCACTCCAGCCTGGGTGACAGAGCGAGACTTTGTTTCAAAATAAAATAAAATAAAATAAAATAAAATAAAATAAAATAAAGCTATGATCAGCACAACACAAATATCCTTATTCATTCATTAATTTGTTCAATAGTTATTTATAAGTTCTACCATATTTTACTCACTGCTCTGGTCTCAAGCATTAATAAGACGTTGATTAGAACAGGGCCAAGGACAGAGCCCTATTGTACCTACTCCCAGAAATACGTTGGCTGTGAATCAGCTCTTTAGAGAACAGGGTTATTTTATCTGTTATCACTTCACCTAACCTATTTCCTCTAGCATCCCTAACTCCATTTTGTTTAGGAACATGTCTTCAGGCTTTTGGCACGTGCCTTAATGAAGTGAGATCCACACTGTCAAGCATCCCACCTTTTTCCAGACTAGTAGATTCTGTGTTTCTAACAACACTGTGGACCAGGATGTGGGTGTGAACTAGGTGTACACCTCAGCTTTGCACTTCTTGCTGTGAACCTGTGGCAAGTCACTTCAATTCTCAGAGCCTCAGGTTCCTCATCTCCAAAGAGGGCAACAAACCCAATCTTGCAAGGCTGTTATGAGAATTAGACATAATATACGTAAAATGTCCAGTACATACTACTTGTTTTTCCCCCTTATTTCAGGTCAGTTTCTGGGAGCACAGATCATACGTACTACTTTTTGAACTTGCATATAAAAAAAATTAGAAAAGCAGCACTGAATTCCAGTTAGGGGAAATTAGATTTTTTTCAATTCCTATATAAATTCATGAGAAGTTTTAATTCAAGAATTTACAAATCAGAGAAATAGTATATACAAAAATGATTATCAAATATTAAGACTATTATCTTGAATTTCAATGAGTTTTGTATTTATTTAAAATATACAATATATGGTCATTGTAGTTATATATAATGTTAGCTTACTATCATTATTGTATTAATATGCAATAAAAGACTTTCCCAAGGCTCAGTGAAAACTAAGCACATTTTATTTTCTCTGTGTTTCATATGTAAAATAAACACCTTGTACAGGATTCTGGAAAGATGCTATGCTATGCCATTTTTTTTTTTTTGTTATTCTAAAAGGAAGGTAACCAGACACTGCTCGAAGAACTTAAATATTTGCATCTGGTTTTTAAAAAGTAGAGAGAAACAAAAAGCTGACAACTATATCTAGAGAGGGATATCAGTTCGGGGGAAAGAAGGGAGGCAGGCTGCTTTTTCACTATATAGCTGTTGTAACTTTTGAATTTTGTACCTTGTGCATATATTATTATTATTTTATTTATTATTTATTTATTTATTTATTTTTTTTTTTGAGATGGAGTCTCGCTCTGTCACCCAGGCTGGAGTGCAGTGGTGCGATCTCAGCCCACTGCAACTCTGCCTCTCGGGTTCAAGTGATTCTCCTGCCTCAGCCTCCCGAGTAGCTGGGATTACAGGCGCCCGCCACCATGCTCAACTAATTTTTGTATTTTTAGTAGAGACGGGGTTTCACCGTATTGGCCAGGCTGGTCTCGAATTTCTGACCTTGTGATCCGCCCGCCTCAGCCTCCCAAAGTGCTGGGATTACAGGCGTGAGCCACTGATTGAAAAAATAGTTAATCTTTTTAAATAGTGGCAAAATAATTTTAAATAACACTATCCTTTTCACTGAGTTTACTTCTATAAAATCTGAAAGCCTTAAATACAAAGAAGGCAAACTAAATTCCCTGAAAAGTCCCATTCAAGTCTGATAATATATGGATTAAATCAGTTAAATGAACCACATTAAAATAGATTGACTTTATAACAATTTCTAATCTCTGCCTGCTGGACATTCAAATGAAAACTAAACTGTTTCTACAAAGATGCCCAATTCATTGCAAATATTTTACCAAGAACACCAAAATTTTAAACACGGACACTTTTTAGATACAATGAACAGGATAGTAAGCTATATTGATTGATTGATTGATTGACTGACTTTGAGACAGAGTCTTGCTCTGTTGCACAGACTGGAGTGCAGTGGCACAGCCTCGGCTCACTGCTACCTCCGCCTCCTGAGTTTAAGCGATTCTCCTACCTCTGCCTCCTGAATAGCTGGGATTACAGATGCCCGCTACCACACCCAGCTAATTTTTATATTTTTAGTAGAGATGGGGTTTCACCATGTTGGCCAGGGTGGTCTCAAACTCCTGACCTCAGGTGACCTGCCTGCCTTGGCCTCCCAAAGTGCTGAGATTACAGGCATGAGCCACCATGCCTGGCTAGTAAGCTAGATTTAGACATTAAAATTCAAAATCTATTTTTTTAGAATAGTTTGGGCAACTGTATAAGATTTGTGATTGTATATTTGATTGTTGCTGATAAAATTGTATATGAACAATCAACAATTTACATAAACCCTGACTGCCTATTTAAGGCAAATAAAACAAGAGTTTTCTAAACAGGATTGTGCACAAGAGAGAGATATTAAAAATTTTGGCCGGGCACAGTGGCTCATGCCTATAATGCCAACACTTTGGGAGGCTGAGGTGGGAGGATCACTTGAGGCCAGCAGTTTGAGACCAACCTGGGCAACACAGGGAGACCCTGTCTCTACTAAAAATACAAAAATTAGCCAGACGTGGTGGCACACACCTGTAGTCCTAGTTACTCAGGAGGCTGAGGCAAGAGGATCGCTTGAGCCCAGGAGTTTGATGTTGCAGTGAGCTATAATTGTGCCACTGCACTCCAGCTTGAGAGACAGAGTGAGACCTTGTCTAAAAAGAAAAAAAAGCGACCCTCCCATCTCAGCCCCCTAAGTAGCTGGGACTGCAGGCGTGTGCCACTCACTACATCCGGCTAATTTTTTGCATGTTTAGTAGAGACGGGTTTCGCCACGTTGCCCAGGCTGGTCTTGAACTCCGGCTCAAACAATCTGCCTGCCTCAGCCTCCAAAATTGTTGGGATTATAGGCCTGAGCCATTGCACGCCAGCCAGGAGACATAGATTATCAGTAGACACTCAATGGATGATGGCTCAGAATTTCTTTTCACTTTGTTTAGTTAACCAGAAGAAAATGATTTATTTCTTGCCATAGTCATATAAAACAATTTGCTTTTAAACTACTATGAAAGGCCTGGCGTGGTGACTCAGGCCTGTAATCCCAGCACATTGACAGGCTGAGGTGGGTGGATCGCTTGAGTCCAGGGGTTTGAGACCAGCCTGGACAACATAGTGAGTCCTCATCCTACAAAAAATAAACATAAAGTTAGCTGGGTGTGGTGGAATGAGCCTGTAGTCCCAGTTACTTGGGAGGCTGAGGTGGGAAGGTCACTTGAGCGTGGGAGGTAGAGGCTGCAGTGAGCCATGATCATGCCACTGCACTCCAGCCTGGGTGACAGTGTGAGACCTCGCCTTAAAAAGGAAAGAAGAAAGAAAGAAAAAAGAAAGAGAGAAAGAAGGAGAGAAAAAGAAAGAAAGAAAGAGAAAGAAAGAAAGAAAGAAAAAGAAAGAAAAAGAAAGAAAGAAAGAAAGAAGAAAGAAAGAAAGGAGGGAGGGAGGGAGGGAGAGAGGAAGGGAGGAAGGAAGGAAGGAAGGAAAAGAAAGAGAAAGAGAAAAGAAAACAGAAATAAGCTAAATATGAGATTTGATGCTAAGCAAATATAGTTGTGTTGGGAGAAAAGTTCCCCCAACTTGCCTGGTGCAATGGTATTACCTCCCTTGTGAAGTTCCTGGCACTATAGTAGGTACCCAGCCAAAATAAGACCCCTTCCTGCTTCCACGTCAACCTCAGTAGCCAAGGTTTCGTAACTCCTGCCTTTAAACTGAAGAAACTGTATCAATGTCTCGTAATGTAATAGTTCCATAGCTGGCAGTAAAGAAAACCAAACTTAAAGAGCCACTTGAGCAGAGGAGATAGACCAAATCTGTTGTATTGGTTGGCATTCAGGGAAAACTCAAAGTCAAAAGGCACCATCTCAAGACCATCCAGAAAAGCTCGTTGGGCCCTTGATCCAGAAAGCACCCAGTTGGTCTCCTAGAGAGCACTGTAGGGATTCTGAAATCATTACACGTGGTTTTTAACCCAGCCCCAGTTGGATGCAGATATAAGAACCAAGAATTTGCCCTGTAGGTGTATGACGAGTTGCTTCTTCATAAGTTGCGTTGAGACCCAGCAGGCAAAGACACACCTGTTCAAAGCTAATATTCTGTTAAACAATAACCAGGGACTACTCATGAAGTTCCTCCAGATGTCTGAAGACTCCCAGGGGCGAAAGGCCCCAACGGAAAGGCCTGGCAGTTGTTCAAAAGCCACACTGGATTACTACAGCTTCCAGCCGCTCAAATTGAAACTGCCCAGGTCGAAGAGTTCTAGGAGCAGTGTAGTGACCCTTTAACTACATGCTACTTTAACCTGCATCTTCCAAACTCTTTGAATTTTTTTTTTCTTTTCCAGGACACGAAAAAAATTCAGAATAATAAAAAAAAAGAATAGCAGTAACTACTTTTTCCTGTGTTACTGCTTGTGCCAGACCCTGTAGAAGTGCATAATATGCTACGTCAACTCCATCAATATTTCTTCATAACAATCTGCAAGGAAGTATTATTGTTCTTATTTTACAAATGAAAAACCTGAGTCTCAGAGAGGTTTGGTAGTTTGCTGAAGTTCACGTAGCTAACAAGTGGCAAAGGTAGGATGTGAATTCAGGATGGATTGGCATGAATACCCACGATCTTTACTCTCAGTACACAGCTTCATACTTACATGCAGGGTTACAATGTGCTTGGTAAGGCAAGAAATCTCTACCAACACAGGATTTTTTTGAGGATTAACTAAGAAAACATAAATAAGCACACAGCCTGTTGCCTGATACACGTTAGGAACTAAGTAAATGCTTATTTTGTTTTAAAATCATTACCCTACATTCTGGAAAATGTGCCATGGAATGGGACGGGCCCACAATGGTTTTTCTATAGAGTTTTTAGCGGGTTCTGGGGACAACTATTATATATTTTAAAATAGCAACGCTCACATGCTCCATAGTAAATCAGTTGGCCAAGTTAAAAATAGATTCTAAACATAGCAAGAGCAGAAATTCAATCTAAGATACTAAGTCATGGAAAGCAGTTGACAGTGGTTGCAACAGAGAAAAGGAAGCGCAGGCACACACTGATTCTACATGTGGATAAAATTCTCCAACCTCCATTTCAGGTTTGTTCTATTCTCTATAGCAGAAAACATGCACACATATATATGCATACATGCATATACATATGCATGCAAATAAATAAACTAAGATGACACATTCTATTTATCTGCAATAGCACCATTTACAAACCTATTAATTTTGAGATTTTGGTACTTATTAGCACGTACTAGATACACTACAACAATATATAGTTCCTCAACATTTTTAGGTGTAAGAGAGAGGATGGTTAATGTTTAAAATATTTGGGGTGCAGATACACAGATGGCTAGACTGGTAGATAACTAGAAAGGATGGGGACAGAAGCTATATACCCTCTGTGCTCAGTCAATTTACAGTGGCAGCCTTAGAGAGTTGGGTTAATGCTGCCATTCTGTCATTTGAAACCCCGGGAACTGGTATGCCAGATAAAACTGCAATCACTGTGCCAAGGACTCAGGAAAAGGCGTGGAGCTTAGGTTCTCCCTCAGCCTCCTACTTTTAAACTGTTGTTTGGAGCACACAATTACTTTCTCTCAGTTGCTAGGGTGGGTGCTTCAGCTGTGGGTGTCACTATTTAGGGAGGAAGCCATGAAATGTATATCCTTAAATCACATAGTCTTGTTCCATGTACGTCAAGAAGAGAATGACTGAGGGATGTCTATTATAAACTGGAGTAATGGCACATCACACCAAATAAAACTTTCCATGGGATACTAACATAAAAGCAGATCCATTATAAATATAAAAGAAGAATGATACAGAGAAGATCAGCATGGTCCCTGAGCAAGGATGATACATGAATTCATGAAGCTTTCCATATTTTTAAAAACACCAAAGCAGGCCGGGGCGGTGGCTCACGCCTGTGATCCCAGCACTTTGGGAGGCCGAGGCGGGTGGATCATCTGAGGTCAGGAGTTCGAGACCATCCGGGTCAACATGGTGAAATCCCCTCTCTACTAAAAATACAAAAAATGAGCCAGGCTCGGTGGCTCACGCCTGTAATCTCAGCACTTTGGGAGGGTGAGGTGGGCGGATCATCTGAGGTCAGGAGTTCGAGACCATTCTGGCCAACATGGTGAAACCCTGTCTCTACTAAAAATACAAAAAATTAGCTGGGCGTGGTGGCACGTGCCTGTAATCCCAGCTATTCGGGAGGGTGAGGCAGGAGAATTGCTTGAACCCGGGAAGCAGAGACTGCAGTGAGCCGAGATCGCGCCACTGCACTCCAGCCTGGTCGACAAAGCGAGACTGATTCTGTCTTAAAAAAAACAAAACAAAACACCAAAATAACAACAAAAAAACCTACAGAAAGACTTATGACACAATTGATAATTTAGGATCAATAACTTTCTCCTTTTTTTAAAAACAAAAGCTTGAAATATATTTATTTGTAAAACACCATGTGAAATAGAATAATTGAGGATAAAAACACAGGAGAGTGGTTAGCAGTGCAGGTGTTGGAGTCAGGCTACTTGTGTTTGGTCAATACTAACTGCAGGTCTTTGGACAAGAAGTCTCGCTTCTCTAGGTCACGGTGTCCTAAAATGTCATAGTATACACTTCATAGAGTCATTGTGGCTGTTAAAGTCCTATATGCTAGCCATGATCCTAGCACATAGCATTCTAAACATTAGCTATTACCATTTTCTAAAAGTAACAGAGGCAAGAGATTACTAAATACTTGAGATAAGCGGATTACTGTAATTGAGGACTGATTTTCCTAGAAGCTAAGGAAAAAAAAAAGGTTTTACTTTCTGACAAAGAAACAATCAGCATACATCAGTGAAGACTGCCCAAACTTAAATAGGAGATTAGTAAAGGAATCTTTGAATACAGGACATTGCATCAAATAGCAGGTATCGCAATGACAGCTTTGCACACCGCAGAAATAATTGTTTACGTGTAGTGCCTGCTGTCCACTCTCTAAAAGAGCTGAGGGGGTAGGGCACTATATTGTAACTCATGTAGAGGAACTGAGACATATGCTCCAAATTCTTTGCCTTCTGACTTCTTATGGTTAGGACACGGAAAAATCCAGAAAACTGAACATATGAAACTTGCAAATGACTGATATCTTAAGTGTATGTTCGGCAGAAGCGGATCATGCTTTATTCATAATTAAGTTATCTAAATTTTTGGCTCAACAAGTATTTGTTTCCGACATTGAACAAAGGTATATGGCTTATAAGGATGAATAAGACGCATTATTCTTTTTGCCCTTATATGGTCCACATGAGGATTAAAGAAACACCACATGCTGGTCAGGCGCGGTGGCTCACGCCTGTAATCTCAGCACTTTGAGAGGCCGAGATGGGCTGATCACCTGAGGTTGGGAGTTTGAGACCAGCCTGACCAACATGGAGAAACCCCATCTCTACTAATAATACAAAAATTATCCGGGTGTGGTGGCGCATGCCTGTAATCCCAGCTACTGGGGAGGCTGAAGCAGGAGAATCGCTTGAATCTGGGAGGTGGAAGTTGCAGTGAGTCAAGATCATGCCATTGCACTCCAGCCTGGGCAACCAGAGTGAAACTCTGTCTCTGAAAAAAGAACAAAAAACAAAAACAAACAAACAAACAAAACATGCTTTAGATACTTGAGGTAAGGGAAGGAAATCTCAAATGGAAATAAGAGTCAAATTTCTAAGCTGGGCACGGTGGAGCACACCTGTAATCCCAGCACTTTGGGAGGCTAAGGCAGGAGGATCGCTTGAGCCCAGGAGTTCGAGACCAGCCAGGGCAACAGAGTGAAACTCCTGTCTCAATAAAATAAATAAATAAATAATGAAAAAATGTAAAAAGAAATTTCTGCTGTCCTCCCAGATGCAAGGCCAGTTGGTGCTGCAGGGAATAAGGTTGCCTAAAGATAGAATCATGACAGCATTTTACTTAGGAAAGAGCTATGGATGAACTTGAATACTTGGATAAGTTCATGGTTAATATGTCAGATTACATATGCCACATAATATAAGGAAATTGTTATACCATGAAAAAAGTTAAGACCGGTTAATTCAGCCCTTCTCTTTATTTGCAAATTGGCCCTGTAAACTTTGTCTAGTTTCAGGAACTGTTGGAGGGATTTTGGAATCAGATTTAATCGCTCCTGGTCTGTGCTACTTAACTTGCAAGCATTTCTCTGATATAGTATTAGGTTGGTGCAAAATTAATTGCGGTTTTTGCCATTACTTTTAATGGCAAAACAGCAATTACTTTTGCACCAACCGAATACTTTTCTTATTGTGCTTTCTTTCACCTGTAGAGTCCAAGGTACTTGTTCATTAATTGAGCCAAATTATTTAGGTTTAAAAAAAGAGTTCTGGGACACAGCTCTCTTCGACGTGGAGATGGATGTCTTGGATGGATGAATATATTAATTAATCCAGTATTTCCTGAATTTTTTCAGTTATACATTATGATATGGTTTGGATTTCTGTCCCCGCCCAAATCTCATGTCGAATTGTAATCCCCCATGTTGGAGGAGGGTCCTGGTGGGAGGTGATGGGATCATGGAGGTGGATTTCCCCCTTGCTGTTCTCGTGATAGTGAGTGAGTTCTCTCGTGATCTGGTTGTTTAAAGGTGTGTAGTCCCTCCCCCTGCTCCCTCTTCCCCTTTCTCCAGCCTCATCACAGGTGCTGCTTCCCCTTCACCCTCTGCCGTGATTGTAAATTTCCTGAGGCCTCCCCAGCCATGCTTCCTGTACAGCCTGTTGGACTGTGAGTCAGTTAAACCTCTTTTCTTTATACATTATCCAGTCTTGGGTAGTTCTTTACAGCAATTCGAGAATGAACTAATACACTTTACTTCTTTTTTCTCTCTCTCTGTCTCCTCCCAGGCTGGAGTGCGGTGGCATGATCATAGCTTACTGCAGCCTCGAACTCCTGGACTCAAGCCACCCTACTGCCTTTGGCCTCCCAAAGCGCTGAGATTACATGTGTAAGCCACTGTACCTAGCCACCCTTCACTTCTGATTTTTGTCAGGTCCATGTTACTTGTACTATTAGATACCAACATTTTCTTTAATTTGACATAAATTGTCCAATTTTTAAAACATAGTCTCATCGTAAGCAATGATATCTGTGAAATCTGAGTTTGAGGCAGATGTTTAAATATACCTTAAAATAAAAACAACTATATAAATAAATTAAAATCATGAGCCACATAAAATAGCCTTCCACTCACTTTGGAAAACAAAGTATTAATCAATTAATAAAATTTTGAACTGGAAAGGTCTCTTTTAGATTTTCTAATCCAACTCAGAGTTCCACAGAGATTCAGCCAAAGTCACCAGCTGAGGGAAGAGTTGGGAGTAGAGCCTCAGTCTACGGTTTAGTGTGAAAAGTTTAGGGCTTTCTTTACCATGTTTGTTGCAAATTATGCCCCCAACTAGCTGAACAGCTATTTAAATATAAGCATTCCTATCAAATACAATGATTTTAGTTTGGGTATAAATGGTGCCAAAGTAATTCTTCTGTTGGTAGCTAATAGGTCTGACTGCTTAAGCTCACTAAAATACTTATTTTCTTATTTGCGGAAGCAATAGCTCTCTCTAATTATTTAAAAATTATCAAATAAACTGGATTCAGTGGTGTGTGCCTGTAGTCCCACCTACTCAGGAGGCTGAAGTGGGAGGATTGCCTGAGGCCTGAAGTCCAAGACCACACCCACACATACGTGCGTGCACGGGTGAGTGTTATAGAATAAAAAGAATGGGTTACACTAATTCATTTGTTTATTTTTTTTTGAGAGGGGGTTCTTGCTCTGTCACTCAGGCTGGAGTGCAATGGTGTGATCTCAGCTCACTGCAACCTCCATCTCCCAGGTTCAAGTGATTCTCTTGCTTCAGCCTCTGGAGTAGCTGGGATTACAAGTGCACACCACCACGCCCAGCTAATTTTTTGTGTTTTTAGTAGAGACGGGGTTTTGCCATGTTGGCCTGCCCGATCTCAAACTCCTGACCTCGTGATCCGCCCACCTCGGCCTCCCAAAGTGTTGGGATTACAGGCAAAAGCCACCGTGCCCAGCCTACACTAATTTAAAATGTTACTAATAGGGGAGACCGGTGGGGAGGCAGGCAGAAAGGAGGTATAGGGGAACTCTACATTTTGCTTAATTATTTTGTAAAGCTAAATCTGCTCTAAAGATAAAGTCTAATAGTAAAAGCAAAGATAGAATGATATTGAAGCATAGTCCTCTTTAAAAATAGGAATGTGTCTAGCTGAGATCACTCTCTTCTACTTTATCTTAGCAATAGTGTTTTGCTACGGACTATGATGAAGCATTAAGGGCCAGGAGCGGTCAAGGTTGGACAGTTTGGCCCATTTATGGTTTAGTACAGATATGGAGGGCATGTAGGTGTCTAGGCCCTGGATTGGAAGTGAAATTTGCCCTTAACATTATCAACACAGTGATCCTATTTCACATTTTTGATCCCCAAATTCTTTTTTTTTTTTTTTTTTTGAGACGGAGTCTCGCTCTGTCGCCCCGGCTGGAGTGCAGGGGCGCGATCTCGGCTCACTGCAAGCTCCGCCACCCGGGTTCACGCCATTCTCCTGCCTCAGCCTCCCGAGTAGCTGGGACTACAGGCGCCCGCCACCACGCCTGGCTAATTTTTTGTATTTTTAGTAGAGACGGAGTTTCACCGTGTTGGCCAGGATGGTCTCGATCTCCTGACCTCATGATCCGCCCGCCTCGGCCTCCCAAAGTGCTGGGATGACAGGCGTGAGCCACCGCGCCCGGCTGATCCCCAAATTCTATTAGTGTTATTACTAGGTGATACTTACGGAAAATAGACAATGATTATCCTAAGATTTCAAAGCATAAGTATTAAGTGGTAAAAATGTCATACCCGTTTTAAAGAAAGGGGGGCGTAGAGGCCTAACATTCCTAAATGACACTGGGGCAAAAATAGAAATAAAATCCAGGTGTCTAGGGCCTGGCTTTCCCATCGTTGCCGTTCATTGTTAAAGTGATCATTAAACAATAACAATACAAAGAAAGACAGGGTCATAGTCTTATGAGCACTCATATTTTAAAGAGAAAGGCGTTAAAAAGAAGCTATACAGGAGCCTCAATTCTGCATAGGCATGGTTTTTTAAGATGATTTAGGGAAGGTTTTGTGTTTGTTGCCATTAGTTTTAAAAGTATTAAATTCTTGGTTATATCCTTTTTTTAAAAAATTGTATTTGCCCTAATCATATAACATGAAAAACGTACGATCAAGGCAAAAAAATAAAGTGCTAGGTTTAGTTATTTGGTTTCAAATAAGCCACAACTAGTATGAAATTTCTAGTTAATATTCTACTTAAAGGTCTACAAATTCAAAGGCCTTGAGACCCACTTAAGGCACCGAAATAAAATAACTTAGTGAATAAACTTAGCCAAATTACTTAAATCCCTAATCCCTTGCTTTTTACAAATAGGAATACCTCACCACTTGTCTCCTGGGAAAGATACTATTAGTCTATTCTGATGACACTTCTATGGCATTTTGGATTGCCAGTTGATAATTTTCAAAAAAGGTAGATACAAACCATTGCTGGGTATGCTGTGGCCATGATGAGGGCATAGTATACATGCTGTATACTATTTGAAGGAGAATGTAGTTTTGGTGGGTGAGTGTCTCAAGTTTGTGGGTCATTGTTACCAGCTGTAAAAGGACCTCAGCAACTGCAGAGCAGTTATCAGGTTTGTGTACTCCCTGTTGGACCTAGAAGACAGTCCTGCACCTAGTAGGTGCTCCAGAAGCATTTTCTGAATGCCGAGTGAATCGTCCCCCTCCAAGACTGGAGAGGGAGGCTAAAATGAACAAGAGCCCCCCCAGGAGTTTGTGCCTGCCTTCCTTTTACTACTTGGTGAGGAAGGATTACGAATATGTAAGAAATGAGAGGCACTAGAGAATGAAGTAAACCCTTCAACAGTTACCCAGCTGTCCCTTGGCCTGACTTCCCCTAGCTCCATGCCCCAAATGCAACTCACTTTTCCCTTCCATCCAAGCCTTCCTAAAAATAACTTCCTTTTCTAACTTCTCACTCCTGTCACCACTATTCATTTCCAAGTCTCACACCTTCCCTTACCTCCTTGAAAATATAGCTGACCTGAAAAAAAAAGGCGGGGCGGGGGGTAAGGGTGGGGGAAGAGTGTAGAGAAAAACCCAGCCAAACTGTGAAGATGTTTTACTGTTACGTGTTTGCACTGCATTGCGTAGTGACGTTCTCTGTTGAAAATGGGGCTGCAGATGCTTGTTCTAGGGTAGTTACTAGGTAATGTGGGACTTTAGGAAGGAGTTAGCTTCCAACTCACAAGAATATTTAGTCTCAACTGATTTTTATTCTTAAGCATCTTATTAAGTGTAAGTGTCCATAACCCAGGCCTGCACAGTCAAGGTCAGGTACTGCATTGAGTCATTCTCTGCTCAATTTTTTTCCTTGCCCCACCTCTACTGTAACCTTTTAAAAAAATAAGATACAAGGTTTCACTGTCACACAGGTACGCAGTACAGTGGCAAGATCATTAACCTCGAACTCCTGGCCTCAAGCAATCCTCCTGTCTCTCAGCCTCCCAAAGGAGGCATGAGCCACCGTGTCTGGCTCAATTTTCTGGTCAATTTTAAGGCTCAAAATAGTATTGTAATTGCTCATAATATAAAACATAGTACAAATTCAGTTTTTACTACTTATCTGCTTGTTGAATGCGTATTGCAATTTAAAAATCCACATACTGCCGGGCACAGTGGCTCATGTCTGCAATCCTAACACTTTGGGAGGCTGAAGAGGGTGGATCACTTGAGGTCAGGAGTTTGAGACCAGCCTGGCCAACATAGCAAAACCCCGTCTCTACTAAAAATACAAAAATTAGCCAGGCATGGTGGCGCATGCCTGTAATCCCAGCTACTTGGGAGGCTGAGGCAGGAGAATCACTTGAACCCAGGAGGCAGAGGTTGCAGTGAGCCGAGATCATGCTACTGCACTCCAGCCTGGGCGAAAGAGAGAGACTCTGTCTCATAATAATAATAATAATAATAATAAAATAAAAATAAAAATCTACATACTGTATACATATAACTGTTTATTCAGACCCAGGATATTTTTCCTTTGTCCTGTCAGAGCCTCATGGACTACCATTCATCTGGGGAAACTCTGGGAAGGAAAATTAATTATAGTGCTGGCAGCATTGGAATGGTCAGGTGACAGAGAAGCCACGTGTGCCACGTGTCAGGCATCTCCTCTTACCATCTCAGAGGGACTCACGAACTTTCTGAATCAGGAGCCATGTTTGTAAAAATTTTCTAACATTCCAGAACCTTTATAATATTTCTGCTTGCTAATTTTATTATCCTATCTCTTTCCCCATAGCTCAGCAGTAAAACTCTTTAAATAATTTTTTTTTTTTAAAAAAGTACATGATTACATTCAAGGGTAACAAGGAGGGTGGAAGCTAGAAAGATTGGGGGACTCTAGCCCCCTTCACAGTGCCCCTCATCTGTCACCCCATTGGATGGTGTATGCCTCCCTCCGGGGGAGAAAAGCAGGCTAAGCCCCTGGGGCTTGATACACGGAGGAAAAGAAAAAATCCAGAGTAAGATTCTGAGGCACAACCTGGAAGAGACTCTTGGGGCTGAGCAGTAGAGAGGCTTTGCCTTTCAGAGAAGCAATTTGGGGATCTTAACTCTTGGTTTCCTCATGTTTCATATGGAAATATTAGTATATTTCTTACAGGGCTATTGTGATGATTACATAAGATAGTCCATGTAAAATGCTTGACATACTTCCTAGAACACAGTAAATGCTCCAAACATTACCACTATTGGCCCTCGAGTCACTGGAGGGTGACACGGACATAGTCCAGAAAAAGTAAATCAAGGCCTGGTGCGGTGGCTCACACCTGTAATCCCAGCACTTTGGAAGGCCAAGGTGGGTGGATCATTTGAGGCCAGGAGTTCAAGACCAGCCTGGCCAACATGGTGAAACCTCCATCTCTACTGAAAATACAAATATTATCTGGGCGTGGTGGCTGCATGCCTGTAATTCCAGCTACTTGGGAGCCTGAGGTATGAGAATTGCTTGAACCCAGGAGGCAGAGTTTGCAGTGAGCCGAGATGGTGCCAGTGCACTCCAGCCTGGGTGACAGAGTGAGACTATGTCTCACAAAATTAATAAATAAATTAAAATTAAAATCAAATCAAGCCACAAGTAAGAGAGAACTATAGATTGCCTCCATGTCCAAAATGGTGAATCAAGGCCGGACACAGTGGCTCACGCCCGTAACCCCAGCACTGTGGGAGGCTGAGTTGGATGGATCACTTGAGGTCAGGAATTTGAGACCAGCCAGAGCATGGCGGCACACGCTTGTAATTTCTGCTACTCAGGAGGCTGAGGCACAAGAATTGCTTGAACCCAGGAGGCAGAGGTTTCAGTGAGCCGAGATTGCACCACTATACTCTAGCCTGAGTGACAGAGTGAGACTGCCTCAAAAAAACAAAAACAAAAATGGTGACTCATCTTCTTATCTCCATTTTACAGATGGGGAAACTGATGTTACAGAGAGGAAGTAACATGTCCAAAGTTTTCTAGCTAATGAGTAGTGGACTGAGATTCAATCCTGGACCCCTTTACCTCCTAAGACCATTTCCTTGTTCTTCTATACAGCATTATCTCCTGATGTAAATGTTAACATAAATGAAACCTAATTTCAAAGATTTATTTTTGGAGCTGGAACTAACAAAACATTCCAAAATCAATTAGCAGCATATTTTTACACTTTTCCTCTATTTTTACACATGAGGACGAAGAGGTCGTGTGAGCAACCATAAACACGTATTGAATCTTTGGATCAGCTACCATCCTTCACCTTTAAGGTTTTATTTTCAATAAATAAAGAACAGAGACTTAGCCTGGCAATAAGTGTGCCTGAAAAATGCTGGTTGGGATAGGAAGTGTTTAAGTAATGAATTAAATCGTGACTTGCTGTGTCAAGGTCTATATTAAAGAGAAACATAAAGGAACATGTGCTTTTGAGAGAAACAGGGCCAGCGTGTGATTTTTCCAAATGCTTTAAGAGCTGTGGTTTCATGTAAGTGTTACTCGCAAGCTGCCCACAAATGCTGCCACCCGGGCTTCCTGTGCCGGGTCTCCCTGGAAAGCCTGAACGAGCTTTGGCACTGAAAATGATCTTGTCCAGGGCCAAGAATTTAACACAATTAAATTTCTCCCTCTTGACTGAGAGGCCTGAAACCTAAAGCTGCAGAAAGGCGGGAAGGAAAGAGAAGTATGAAGGCGAGAGCCCACTACTAGCTCATGGTAGAGGAGTAAATTTCGCCTCCACTCCTGCCTTCCAAGAGCCAGCATCCGGCCAGACGTTTAGTTTCCCTCTTTGTCTTTCCAGACGAGGACAAAGTGCATGCCACTATCTGGTTCTTTCAAGTCTCTAAGAGTCTCTGCCAGATGCTTGGGTTGATATTTTGAAGCAGTAAAAAAGAAAGAAAAGCAGAGAGAGAGGTGACTAATTCTGTGGAGAATGTTTGCTCTTAACATTCTTCTCTAAATATTTGGGTTATTGAAAGGATCTAACAATATCTTATTTTATAAAGAAGCAGAAAAACAGTGATGGCTGGGCCCAGTGGCTCATGCCTGTAATCTCAGCACTTTAGGAGGCTGAGGTAGGATTGCTTGAGGTCAGGAGTTCAAGACCAGTCAGGACAACATAGGGAGACTCCATCTTTACAAAAAATAAAAAATTAGCTGGCCATGGTTAATCCTGGTTAGCACACCTGTAGTCCCAGCTACTTGGGAGGCTGAAGTGGGAGAATGACTTGAGTCTGGGAGGTCAAGGCTGCAGTGAGCCCACCACTGCACTCCAGCTTGGGCAACAGAGCGAGACTTTGTCTCAAACAAAGAAACAAACAAACAAACAGACAGACAAAACAGTGACTCTGAAATCAGAACTAGATTCCTAACCAGCTCTCTTATTTACTGGCTGTGAGCTTTAACCAAGCCATTTATGTGAAGATGTGGTATTTTTATCTGTGAAACGTGAATACTAATACAATACAAAGTACCTCATGCAGCTTAATAAAGAAGAACTACTTTTATTATTATAACTGTAATGAAACTATGTCCTTATTCTGTTGTATTCTGATAAGGATTTCCTTTTGAGATCATAAGCTCAGGGACTCATCTATGAGGAGGGGTGGTGTCTTCCATGAAGGGCTGGATATTTTTGATGATGATCATTCAGGGAAGGCATGTACCCTCAGTTAGGAAACTGAAATTAGACCAGAGAACTACCTCCCTCCCTCTCACTGTCCTGCATCTACAGCTCAAGGAATCCAGATACCCTTACAGGCCCTCCTGAATAGCAAGGTGGAAACAAGGAAGGGGCCACAAGCTGAAGATGATAAGCTGTACGGTGTAAACCAGATCGCATGTCATACAGGCAGCAGATTACAGCAGTGAAGGGTAGAAACCCTGAAGTCAGAACATCTCCCGTTGTGCATTTGAAGCATTAGAAAAGCAAACTCTCCTAGTGGAAGGTGAATTTCAGGACAGAAGGTGGGGTTTGGCGTCTGAGTGCTTCTGCCCAGGTGGAATGGGGCTTATTTCAGTAGATTTCCTTGCAAGTCCTTTAAACTTCTCGAAGCTTTCAGTTACATCTATTGCGCCTCGTGAAAACTCTAAAATAGGAAGTTTGGACATTGTTACTTCTATTTTTATGAGTTAATAAGTTTTAAAGAGATTACATGACTCGCCCAGGATCATGAGATTAGTAAATGGCAATGCCCAAGGAAAATCCAGTTTTTTTAAAAAAAAATTATTCCCAGTCCAGATTTCAATTATCTCCATATTAGGAAAGTAAACAGGGCATGAAGGATTTTTAAACTATCATTTTGCATTATTCCCACCACTTACCCTTTCCACTTCACTCACATCTTAGGTAACTGAGTCAACTGCATTCAAAAGAAACATTTTTGGGGGGAGAGGGGAGGGATAGCATTAGGAGATATACCGAATGTAAACGACGAGTTAATGGGTCCAGCACACCAACATGGCACATATATACATACGTAACAAACCTGCACGTTGTGCACATGTATCCTAGAACTTAAAGTATGATTAAAAAAAAGTAAAAATAAGTAAATAAATAAATTCCTTTAAACAAAAAGAAACATTTTCTGTGTTCCTCACGGACACATCACTGATGGCTGTCTGAACAGATTCAACTCACTATAAATTCAAGCATGCAAAAGGACATAACCTGTACATATCCACCTGGCTCCATAGAGTAATTAAGCAAATAAGTGTCATTGTCTAAAACTATGTGCTTGCTTTTCTGATTTAGCCCTAAGTTTATATATCCATGAGTGGGATCAAAAACGATTTTCCGATTCTAAATTTCTGAAAATCACGATGAGATGTTTAAGTGAAAAAATGCTTTGGCAGCATACAATATTACAAGTTACTCAAGTATTACAAGTTAACAAGTTACTCAAGCTATAGCTCAGAAGCCATATACATATATATGTGTATATATGTAGAGTATATATGTATATATACACATATATGTAGAGTATACATATACGTAGATGTATATATACTCTACATATATGTATACGTATACATATACGTATATGTATACGTATATGTATATATACATCTATCTATCTATCTATCTATATATATATATATATTTTTTAAGATGGAGTCTTGCTCTGTCACCCAGGCTGGAGTGCAATGCCATGATCTTGGCTCACTGCAACCTCTGCCTCCTGGGTTCAAGTGATTCTTCTGCCTCAGCCTCCTGAGTAGCTAGGACTACAGGCTTGCAGCACTATGCCCACCTAATGTTTGTACTTTTAGTAGAGACGGGGTTACACCATATTGGCCAGGTTGGTCTCGAACTCCTGGCCTCGTGATCTGCCCACCTCGGCCTCCCAAAGTGCTGGGTATACAGGCATGAGCCACCGTGCCCGGCCGCAAAATATATTCTGAGGAATAAAAATGATTGTAGTTAGTTTTCCACAGTCCAAAGCAAGCTAATAATATTTAAAGAGTTAAAAGTGTAATATAATCATCGGTCATGTTTCTACAACCAAAGAGAGTTGAAAGGAGTCAAATATCAGCATAATGCAGATAATGTACTCACTGGCATTGTGGGCCTTTATTATTTGGATAATCATTTTCACCTTGTGGAGACTTTTCCAGAATTATATACTTTTATGCCTAATCAGCAAATTAGGCAGTTGAAAAGTATGTATGAAGCAGCTAATATGTGCCCCAATTAGGCTAGGTAGTGTGGGTATATAAAAAGGGTTTATAAAGGGGGAGGCTCCTATTCAAACCTTAGTGGGGTCAGGAGATGCGGAAGTTAATTAACATATATTAAATATTTTTTTACTCACCCACACCTAGAGAAACAGTACTGTTTTAAATGTGCTGTAGGAGTTCAGAGAAATACTGATTAATGTGGTTTGGAATAAATTAAATAATAAAAAGCTTTGCTGAATACAGTTAGTTTAAAAAATATAAAAATATAGGGGGATTTGCAGAGAAATCTGTTCAACTCTTAAAATAATTTTTAATTTATATATGTTTATATAAGAATTCCATTTTATTAACATGAAATACTAGTACCTTTTTTTGGGGATGGAGTCTTGCTCTGTCATCTGGGCTGGAGTGCAGTGGCGGATCTCGGCTCACTGCAACCTCTGCCTCCTGGGTTCAAGCGATTCTTCTGTCTCAGCCTCCCGAGTAGCTGGGATTACAGGCGTGAGCCACCACATTCGGCTAATTTTTCTATTTTTAGTAGAGATGGGGTTTTACCATGTTGGCCAGGTGGGTCTTTAACTCATGACCTGAAGTGATCCACCCGCTTCAGCCTCCCAAAGTGCTGAGATTATGCGTGAGCCACCGCGCCTGGCCCAGTACTTTTACTGATGAAAAATGTAATGTAAAAGGAAGGTCTGTCTTACATACAATAAGTGCTGAATCTGGGTCTTTTTTAAAAAAAGTCATTGAGAAGACTTACTCCTTTCTTAAGTTTTAAGACATTTATTATTGCAAACAGAAAAATTGTACTAGATACCGGGGATATATAAACGAATAATGCCGTTTCTGTCTTCAAGATCTTACTGTTTGGTAGGTGGAAATAAAGTGAACGAACGAAGGCACTGCAAATCAATGTGGGAGGCTCTATAAGCATGGGGCCACAGAGGAAAAGGCTGAGAGGGAAAGCTTCAATGACTAGGTGACTTCAAAAAGGTCATCCTGGCCAGGCACAGTGGCTCACACCTGTAATCCCAGAACTTTGGGAGGGCCAGGCAGGCGGCAGATCGCTTGAGCTCAGGAGTTTGAGAGCAGCCTGGGCAACATGGGGAAACTCTGTCTCTACAAAAAATACAAAAACTAGCCAGACATGGTGGCGCGCGCCGCTCCTCCCAGCTACTTGGGAGGTTGCGGTGGGAGGGTCACTTGAGACCGGGAGGCGGAAGTTGCAGTGAGCAGAGATCACACCACTGCACTCCATCCTGGACGACAGAGCGAGACCCTGTCTCGAAAAACAAAAGACAAAAACAAAAACAAAGGTCATCCTGCAGGACAACCAGGAGGGCACAAATGTGTGTCTGTGGGAAGCTGAAATGTTGGCGGGGGAAAAAAGCAGGGAAAGGCATTCCAGAAAAAGGAAACTGTAAACAGCACACGAAAAAGCATAGTGAATGAATAGGAAGCCTGAGACCAAACTTAGGGTTTCCTACACTTATTTCAAAGCCCTTCATTATCTATATGGAAAGGGGGAGTCTTTAAACACAAATATTTAGATCATATTGACTGAGATTTAGATATAAATGAATGCTAATAATTACTTTTCGTTATTTTGGGGTGTTAAACATTTACTGTACAAGATTGTATTCGTTTTAAGTATCTTCTAACATGAGCCATTTTGTAATGATTCAGTTGTTTATATTCAATTTCAAGTAGAATGCTGATCACAGCGCCAAATGGGTATCTTCTACAGAAAAAGTTATTTTAATAAAGAAAAATATAGTCAGTTTTAGGATTTCCTGAGAGATTATAGAAACAATAAAAGCATTAAAACTGTTAAGTCATTAAATACGAGTACCTTGTATTTTGAAGGCTCTTAAAATTTAGTTTATAAATTGCTTTTACATAACATATGCACTGAAATACCACTTAAGATTAGTTTTGAAAATAGGTGTTCGTTTCAACCACATCATTAGGTATTTTATTCAAAGCTCTTTATAAAAAGAGCTTTACTATGTTCCAGTATAGTAAACTTATCCAGAAAATAAGACAAAAATTTAACTTCATGCTATAGCTGCAAAGTTTTCGGAAAGCGGGATTTAAAACTTCCATTGTAACTTTAACTAGCGGTCATGTCAAATTTCACAACTAAGAACATTTTAACGCATGTAATACTGAGCACAACATGGGCACGTTTTTGTTGCTATGAGAACCTTCTATTTTGTATTAGACATTGCAGCCTTGACGACGCAATGTTTGTGCTATTTTGCGCATGTTTTCCTGCAGCTATTCCTCTCCTCTAGCAATAGTCGAATGGCTCTGGTTTCCTCTTGCGCCCGGCCCAGTTTTTCCGTTTTAGCTTCGGTTGTCATAGGCTGTGCTGTCGCTTTCTCTGGGAAAGGACGGTGAAGACTGGACGGGAGAAACCGGGAGGGCAGGCGCGGCCGTTCTGCAGCAGCCGGGCCGCTTCCCGGCGGGAGGCGGGCTGCGAATGGGAAGCGGGAGGAGGAGGCCGGGCCGCGGGCTGGTTCTATCACCCCCTTGGGAGCCCAGCTCTTCACCTAGCTCTCCGGCGCTTTTCAAAATCTGCAGTTAACAACAAAAATCGAGCAACGCCACGTCGCACAAACAGGACAGGAGGGGGCGAGGGGTGTGTGCGCGCGCGTGCTGTCCCCAAATGGATGAGAAATAAGGGAAAGGAGGGGTTGGGGACCGTGTGATGAAGCAACATGCTAGGCCCGGGACAAGTCCGGCTCCGGCCTCGGGTCTGGAGGGACAAGGCCGGGGGCCGGGTGGCAGACGGGGCCTCTGGTCTTCCCCCAGCGCGAGGGTCGTGGCGCGAAACGGGGACAGGGCGCGCGCTCGGAGCCTCCTCCCCGCCCCGCCCCGCCCAAGGGTCTTCCTCCCCCGGGATTCAGAGCGGCCCCTCCTCCAGGCCAGGCTCGCCGCGGGGCGCTGAGCAGGCCGGGACACCGCGGCCGAGGTTATCGTTAGGCATCTCCCAGGCGACCGGCTCCGCAGCAAGATGGCGGACGAGAAGGACAGGGAAGGTAAGGTAGGGGAGCCGGGGAGCCGCTGCCCTCGCCGCCCGCCGCGACCCCGGGCTGCACGGGGAAGCGCCGGGTGGGGTGGGCCCTCGTCCATCTGGAGTTCCCACCCGCAGGGAAAGGGCGGCCTGAGGAGGGGGCCACCCGGCAGCAGCAGTCGCCCTGCCCCCGTCCCCGTAGCCCGCCCGGCCCGCCGCTCCGCCCCGCCCCGCCCCGCCTCTCTCCCCCGCCCCGCCCCGCCTCTCTCCCCTCTTCCCTCCCTCTTCTCTCTCCCCTCCTCCCGCCTTCTTCTTTCTCCTCCCGCCCTCTTCACCCTCTTCCCCTCCTCCCGCCCCGTCCTCCTTCCCCCTCCCTCGGAGGCCGGGCCTTGCATCCTGCGCGGGCTGCGCCGGAGGCGCCGGCAGGGGGTGCTGATAATGGCGTCGTTGTTCACGGTCGCGGGGAAGCCGCCGCCGCCTCCACACTCTCGCCTGGGGTCTCGGTGCCGCAGGCGCCACGCCCGTAGCTGTCCAGGCTGTGGGCCCCGGGGGGTGGCCTGGGTGAGGAGGAGTTCTGGCCGCCTGAATCTGACGGGATCCTCTGTTTGCGCCGAAACCCCGCGCTGGCGCAGCCTGATGGCGTTCGCGGCCACCATTTTGCCTCCTTAATGAGGACGCAGGAGGACGGTCTGGAGGTCACAGCCGCTGCCTCCGAGCTTCCCGGTCCTCCGAAATGCCTGCCCCGCCGCCGGCTAGCGCCGCGCAATTGGCCTAGTGTCTTGTCTTAAAAAAAAAAAAAGACACACACCCAAACAGCAATTTTAATAACGACGAAAAACCAAAACCTGGTTGAGATCTTGGAACCGCTGTGCGCCGGCCGGGCCTCTCCCAGGGGACCACCCAGCCCCGCGCGGTGGCCGCCTGCAGAGGCGGGACTGCGCTTCGAGGCTTAAGGTCGCCAGTTCGGAGGCATCGATGTGTTGTCTGTGCGGAGAAGCCAAAAAGTGATTACGTTTATTTGCAAGACCGTTCATGTTGTTTTCAGTTCATGGTATGATTAAAACCCGATCCTTTGTTACCATGCCCTTAGGTACTAAAAAATAATTGTGTTTGATAGTTGGCAGTCACCCAAAAATATCCAAAAAGCCATGAAACAGTAAAGGTAAACAAGTAGGAAGTGAAAATAATATTCGTCCTTTGTTTTCTTTCTGGAGTGCTCAAAACACCCTCTCAAACCATTTTTCTCAGCATAGAACCAAGTGTGGTCAGGTTAACAGCTAATATTTACAAGGGAAGAAACGAACCCTGAGATATTTAGTCACTTGTTCCGGTGATCACAGAAAATCGGCGAAGAAACACATGAAACTGCCAACGATCTCTCTATTGATAACAAGGATACCGTGATTTTTATGTAATATTAATCTGAGAAGCCAGGATTATTTTGTAGGTATTAGCTTTACGAAGATGCCCTTACATACAAAGAAAAGGATAATTTTAAAACTTTCCCAGAAAAATGGATGGCTTATTTTTGTTCTTTACCAAAAAAAAAAAAAAAAAAGCCATTAGGAGATAAACTAGCAAG